>NC_000009.12:107917521-108069036 GCF_000001405.40 Homo sapiens | reverse complement strand
TCTTATTATTTTGAGATAAGAGCCCACATTGCCAAGTCAATCCTAAGCCAAAAGAACAAAGCTGGAGGTATCACGCTACCTGACTTCAAACTATACTACAAGGCTACAGTAACCAAAACAGCATGGTACTGGTACCAAAACAGAGATATAGACTAATGGAACAGAACAGAGCCCTCAGAAATAATGCCAGATATCTACAACTATCTGATCTTTGACAAACCTGACAAAAACAAGCAATGGGGAAAGGATTCCCTATTTAATAAATGGTGCTGGGAAAACTGGCTAGCCATATGTAGAAAGCTGAAACTGGATCCCTTCCTTACACCTTATACAAGAATTAATTCAAGACGGATTAAAGACTTATATGTTAGACCTAAAACCATAAAAACCCGAGAAGAAAACCTAGGCAATACCATTCAGGACATAGGCATGGGCAAGGACTTCATGTCTAAAACACCAAAAGCAATGGCAACAAAAGCCAAAATTGACAAGTGGGATCTAATTAAACTAAAGAGCTTCTGCACAGCAAAAGAAACTACCATCAGAGTGAACAGGCAACCTACAGAATGGGAGAAAATTTTTGCAACCTACTCATCTGACAAACGGCTAATATCCAGAATCTACAATGAACTCAAATAAATTTACAATAAGAAAACAAACAACCCCATCAACAAGTGGGCAAAGGATATGAACAGACACTTCTCAAAAGAAGACATTTATGCAGCCAAAAGACACATGAAAAAATGCTCATCATCACTGGCCATCAGAGAAATGCAAATCAAAACCACAATGAGATACCAGCTCACACCAGTTAGAATGGCAATCATTAAAAAGTCAGGAAACAACAGGTGCTGGAGAGGATGTGGAGAAATAGGAACACTTTTACACTGTTGGTGGGACTGTAAACTAGTTCAACCATTGTGGAAGTCAGTGTGGCGATTCCTCAGGGATCTAGAACTAGAAATACCATTTGACTCAGCCATCCCATTACTGGGTATATACCCAAAGGATTACAAATCATGCTGCTATAAAGACACATGCACATGTATGTTTATTGCGGCACTATTCACAATAGCAAAGACTTGGAACCCACCCAAATGTCCAACAATGATAGACTGGATTAAGAAAATGTGGCACATATAGACCATGGAATACTATGCAGCCATAAAAAAGGATGAATTCATGTCCTTTGTAGGGACATGGATGAAGCTGGAAACCATCATTCTCAGCAAACTATCGCAAGGAGAAAAAATCAAACACAGCATGTTCTCACTCATAGGTGGGAATTGAACAATGAGAACACATGGACACAGGAAGGGGAACATCACACACTGGGGTCTGTTGTGGGGTGGGGGGAGTGGGGAGGGATAGCATTAGGAGATATACCTAATGCTAAATGACGAGTTAATGGGTGCAGCACAGCAACATGGCACATGTATATACAACAAACCTGCACATTGTGCACATGTACCCTAAAACTTAAAGTATAATAATAATAAAATTAAAAAAAAAGAAAGAAAACAAGACTGATGAGTGAATAGAGGAATTCTGAGCTGTGGGAACCAGAATGCCCCTGTGGTATGGCAGGAATAGCCAGTGGGATCCCCTGCAAGGTCAACTGATCCTGCTTCTTTTAAAGTGACCTGACAATGTGGCAGCTAGTATCTGAAAACATTTTGGTCTTTAAGAATCACACACACACACACACACACACACAACTGACTGCCAGTGTCACACGCACGCGCGCGCACACACACACACACACACACTTCAACTGACCGCTAGTGACATAGAGTGTGGACCAAGGAAATGATTCTGCTGCTTTCTTGTTCTAAGGGAGGAAGAACAAAGGTGTTGAGAGTTGTGAAATAATAATACATTTCACCGGAAAGGTCTGCAGCAGATTTGTCCATCCTCGAGAAATATCTCTTTGGCTTTCTCTGTTTCATTTTCCTCAACTTTCTTTTTTTCCCTCTTAGCCTTTTCTAGTTGCCTATCTGCTCACACACGCTGCTCTCCCTCCATGATAAACAAGACCAGCACAGAGAGGGAGCCAGTAATACAGGAATGATGTTTTATTTCCCTGAAATTCATTCACCAGGCTGATCTCCCTGAACCTCAGTTCTGATTGTCATTCTCCTGTATAAACTCCCTCAAGGCCTCCACACTGCCCTTTGCAGGGGTGAGATTAGAGAGGAGACAGAGCCAGACTGCAGGAATGAAATCCTAGCATGGTTGCACTGTACATGTTAAGCTTGAGCAACTTACTTAGCCTTCTCTGTGACTTGGTTTCCCCATCTGTAAGTGGAGATAATAACAGTCACTACTGGCCAGGCACGGTGGCTCATGCCTGTAATCCCAGCACTTTGGAAGTCCAGGGCAGCTGGCTCACTTGAGGTCAGGAGTTCGAGACCAGTCTGGCCAATGTGGTAAAACCCCGTCTCTACTAAAAATACAAAATTAGCTGGGCGTGGTGGCACACGCCTGTAGTCCCAGCTACTCGGGAGGCTGAGGCAGGAGAATCACTTGAACCTGGGAGGCAGAGGTTGCAGTGAGCTGAGATTGCACCACTGCACGCCAGCCTGAGCAACAAAGTGAGACTCTGTCAAAAAAAAAAAAAAAAAAAAAAGGAAAAAAAAAGTGACTACCTTATAGGATGGCTTTGAATTTTAGAATTAACACAGGTAAAATGCTCATATGTGTATCTGACACACACTAATTGCCCACTGAATGTTGTTGCTGCCATTGTTATAACTGCTATTATTAAGGATCTCATACTCTCCAGCCCATCTCTTGTTTTTTTCACCCACATACAATTTACATTCCGGCAGCATGGAATTCCTTGCAGTTATTGGAAGCCACCATTCTCTCTTATGGTATTTGCTCATGCTTCCCTTTTCAAAACATTCCCCCATTTTGTTAGTTTTCTATTGTTGTTGTAACAAATGACCACAAACTTTGTGGCTTACACCAAGGCAAATTTATCATAAGGCAAATTTGTTATCTCACAGTTCTGGAGATCAGAAATCCCACACGGGTCTCACTGGCTAAGGTCAAGGTATCAGAAGGGCAGCATTTCTTTCTGGAGTCTCCAAGGGGTGAATCTGTTTCCTTGTCTTTTCCAGCTCCTAGAGGCTGCCCACATTTCTTGGCTCATGGCCCCTCCCTCTATCATCAAAGGCAGCAACATCAGTAGGTTGAGTCCCCAGATCACATCCCTCTGACCATTCTTCAGTAGTCACATCTCCCTTTGACCACAGCCAGGAAAGAAAGGTTCTCTGTTTCTAAGGACTCAGGATTAGATTGGACTCAACTGGAAAATCCAGGTCAATCTCCTAACCTGAGGTCCTTAACCTGAATCACATCTGTAAAGTCTCTTCTTTCTACATAAAGTAACAGATTCATGGCTTCCAGCGATTAAAACATGGACATATTCTGGGGTAGGGGACATTATTCTGCCTACTATACCTGTTGATTTCTTGGAACCTTTCAAGACTAATCTTAATATTTATATCTGTTTGCCTTCATCTTCATTATACTGCTATGGCAATGGCAAACAAGTCCCCATTTAGCAATTGAAAAAAAGTGAAACTCAGAAAGCTCAAGGGCCTTGTCCAAAGTTGTTCATACAGCTATTTATTGGCAAAGGGGAAAATTTAGGCCTGCTGTGTCATGAAATTTTGGAAGCGAAGTCTTAACTAATGAGACACAGATATACAAGGTGTTAAATATGTAGGATGGACAATGTTGATGTCAAGGAGTTAATATGCCCCTTTCCACTACATTCAGACAAAGCTACCCCATGTGACCGCATTTGGGTCGTATCTGTAATTGTTACCGGTGTGTTTTATATTTTATCAATTATCTTTGTAATAAAAAGCATGCAGTTATGCAGTGACTTCTGTGTCTCTAAATCAGAATGGGGTTGGACTCTAGGGGTTCATTTTCTGTTTTGTTTTTTTTTTTGAAATTCATAATCATTCTCCCGAAGAATGTGGCACTTTCTAAACTTTCTAAATGTGTAGCTTCCTCAACTTTCCCATAAAAATCTATTGAAGTCTTTTAATCACACTGGCACTTTCAGGGACACACATTCACTGGCACTGAGTAGCTAATGAAAATATGCTTGCTGACGTGGAGTGCAGTGTGTGGCATGGAGAAAGCAGCAGAGGTAGTGCAAGTTTACTTCTTGACTCAATTCAAGTGTCAGCTCCTCTAGAACTATCTCCTCACAATCTCCACCTCCTAGAATAGCTTAGGGGCCTCATGGACTGACTGCTTCAGCATTTGGGGCTTGTTTTTCTCATGAGCCTGGGGTCCTTGGGCTCTGAATCCCCAGTGCCAAGCACAGAGCCTGACCCATCTAAGGCTCTGAATTACTAAAAGAGTGAATGACCAATACTGGGCACTAGTAATGTGTAAATCCTCCCGTATCAGTTAAGGTGCTTTAGTGAGAAGCTATAGAAACCAACTTTGGCCAACCTAGATTGGAATGAAATGTGAGAGTGTGGCTATCTATATTCTATAACTGGTCAGACCTGCAAGAGGACAGGCCAAGGTAGCCAGACAAATAGCCTCTTCAAGACACTATCTTTTGGGTGCGGAAAAAAACCTATAACCATTTTATTCAGTTTTTGTGTGGCTCTGCTAAAGATTCAAATTCCAGGGAGAACGAGGGATTGGCTTCATGGATTTTAGGAGAGGTGGAGGCATCCTGATGGATTTGCCAAAACTGCATGCAACTGGGGAAAAGTAGTTCCCAAATAAAAAGTGGGGAGTGGGAGGGGCTGGGCAGGAAAAGAAGAAAAAAAACAATACCAGGAGATACCAGGATTCCACACCTGTTCATTTTCATGCGAAGGTATATCCCACTGTTCTACTTACATAGACTTTGCACACAGAGAGTCACCTGCAAGGTCATGCTTTGGTTTTTCATACAGGGCTCCTACCCAAGGCAGGACTTCCCGAGTAACAGATTGCCTTCCTTTCCCAGTTGGTCTAGGCTTTTTATTTTTCCTCCAAAGTCCTCTGAAATGTTGAAATAAAATTATGGGTATTTATTTTATTGAGCTGAAGTCTGCCTGATATGGTTTGGCTCTGTGTCCCCACCCAAATCTCATCTTGAATTGTAATCCCCATGCATCAAGGGAGAGATCTGGTGGGAGATGACTGGATCACGGGGCAGTTTCCCCCAGGTTGTTCCGATAATAGTGAGTGAGTTCTCAAGAGATCTGATGGTTTAAAAGTGTTTGCCCGTTCTTCCTTCACTCTCTCTCTCTCTCCTGCTGTCATGTGAAGAAGGTCCTTGCTTCCCTTTTGCCTTCCAACATGATTGTAAGTTTCCTGAGGCCTCCCCAGCCATGAGAAACTGTGAGTCAATTAAACCTTTTTTATTCATAAATTATCCAGTCTCAGCTAGTTATTTATAGCAGCGTGAAGGCAGACTAATACATTGCCTCCCAGGAGCTTCTGCCCATTTCTGCCCTTCTCTCCCCCATGCCCCATAGGGTGCCCAGAACAAATTAAATCCTTCTCCCATAGGGCAATTCTGTGAGCATTGACTCTATGTTTTTAAAACTAGTTAACTTCATACCTTCACACCACATAGCCATTATAGGTACAATGCCTCTCTCTGAGCAGGATTCACATTATTGCTCATCTGCACCCCTCTGCTTTTGGCCTTTTGGTGTTTTCTTTTTTCTTTTTCTTTTTTTTTCGAGATGGAGTCTCGCTCTGTCACCCAGGCTGGAATGTGATGGTGGGATCTCCTCTCACTGCAACCTCCACCTCCCGGGTTCAAGCGATTCTCCTGCCTCAGTCTCCTGAGTAGCGGGGATTACAGGCATGCGCCACCACACCCAGCTAATTTTGTATTTTTAGTAGAGATGGGCTTTCACCATGTTGGTCAGGCTGGTCTCGAACTCCTGACCTCAGGTGATCTGCCCACTTTGGCCTCCCGGAGTGTTGGGATTACAGGCGTGAGCCACAGCGCCCGGCTCTTTTGGTGTTTTCTAAGGTTTGTACTTGCATTTCTCGCTGGCTCTTCCCACCTTTGACTGCTTCACGTCCTCTAGACTACCCAGCCCCAGCTTCCAGGACATACCTCTCACTGAACACTCTCACCCTCTTTTGCAGTGAAGGATATGGCCTCTGCCAATAGTCAGCCTTTGTTCTTATCTGGCTCCACAGCTTACCCTTCATATGTCCAGACAGTGGTTATCTAAACTCTCTAAAACTAGGTTGCTTGATCTCTAATATGACAAAATACATACTTTACCAGGTTACTCAAGGGTTCGATGAGATGAAACATTTGAACATCACGAAGTTTTGAACCTAGGTGCTTAACAGATGGTTAGTTGTTCCAGTTATCCTTTTAAATATTAATTTTATCATTTACAAAATCAGGTTATATTCATGTCTCATTTTTCAAAAATCAAACTATAAATCAATAAAAATGAAGGACTAAATAAAAAGTGAACTTTTTATTCTCCCCTAATCTCATAACTTTCCTCAAAATTAACCACTGGTGTTCACTCTTCCAAAAAGTTTATAATTCATATCTATCTTCATGTCTGTGCGTATCTTGTTTTTTCCGTATATAATATGACTGGGACAAATTTTCATGTCAATATTTATATCTCTAGTGTATCTTTTTAAATGGCTACATAGTATTCCATAGTATGCATATGCATAAATGGTTAGCCATTTCTCCCTTGATGAACATCTGTTTCTACTGTTTTGTATATATGTGCACGTTTGAAAAAGATCTACTCCTAGAATGGAATTGCTAAACCAAAGAGTTTACACATTTTACTTTTCAGCCAATCTTAATAAATTACTTTTGTAAATAAACCTTATGAATTATATTCGTACCCACAGTATATGAGAGTTACTGCTTTTTCACACCCTCACCATTATGTAATATTTTTATGTAAGCTTTTTTCATGCGTTGCAACCTGTATGGGCTAAAAGAGGAATGTGGTAGATGGCTTCCTATTTTGCTGAATTATTAATGAGGCTTGCTATCTTTTCCTGTGTTCATTGGCCATTTGTATGTCTATGAACCTATGAGCCTTCTTATCTCATTTATCCATTATTCTGATTGGGCCATTTTTTAAAGGTATTGAACTGTTTAAGCTCTTTACCTATTATTCATACCAATCCTCTGCAGTCTATGTAACAAATATTTGCCCCCAGTACATCTCTTACCTTTAAGCTTTACTTAGGTTAACTTTGTCCAATCAGAATTTTTAAAATTTAAATTGTTATAGCTATGTTTTTTCCTTTTAACTTTTTTCTATGTGTATAATTTCAGGCGTACCTACCCCATGAATACATATTTTTACAATATCACTATAATGAGCTTTTTTCATATTTGGGGTTTTAATTCATCTGAATTTATTTTTAAATAATATAAAGTTCTGTAGATAGTTAATGAATAGACAATTGCTGATTTGAATGCCCCTTTTACTATATACTAAATTCATACTAAATTATACAACTGAACCCATGCCTGGGTTCCCTCTTCTTTATCATTGAGTTATATAGATATTCTTACATCAATACCAAAACCTTTTAATTATGTAATTTAATTTCATAGATAAGTTAATGTATTTAATTTATATATATTTACTAATATATATTTAATTTTATATAACTTAATTATATAATTTTAATTTAATAGAATATATGATACATTATATAATATTCTATGTGTATCACATACTATATGTTTTATATATAAGTTACATACACGCACATGCATTCAAATTTGGAGGCACAGAGAAAGGGCTATGGGATTTCAGAGACAAAAACATCTATTTATAATTTGGGAAATCAGAAAACAATTTAATGTGGAGGTGGCATTTGAGCTGTAGCTTGAGAGAGGATTTGGCCATGAAGGAACCAATGAAAAGGCATTCCAAGAAAAAGGAATTGCTTTAGCAACATGACAGAGACAGGAAAACACAGGTTAGGACCCTGTCCACCACCAACCCATAAAGGCAAGTGTTACAGCTTGGTTGGATTATAAGAAATGTTAAGAAAGGAGAGATGTTAGAAATTAAATTTGAGAGAGTCAGACTGCGTCAGGATCATAGGTGCTCTGAGTGCCAGGCTAGGAAGAATAAACAATCTTGATTCTGAGGCAATAGGAGTCCTACAGAGTTTAGCAGTGGCATGACTTTACCTGTATTTTGGGAAGATGATGGCGGCAAGTAGATTTAAGGGAAGCAAGGATGGCAACAGGAGAACAATCAAGTCGCTGCTGCAGGGTTTTAGGCAGAAGACGAAGAAGCCTAAAGAAGTGGCAAAGAAAAGTTTCCCCATGATTTTTGTCAGCATTTTCTATTTCTTCCTAATACACTGCACTAAAAAAAAAAATGGATTGAAGGTTGCAAGGCCAAAAGCCTTGTATTTAGGCAACAAACCTAACAGAAAAGCTGACTTTCCCACCCCCGCCACCCCGCCCCCCGAGAGCCTCCAAGGCACTTAAAGTATTAAAGTTTGTGTATTCTGGCTATATCTGAGTAGCCCTGTAACAGATGGATCTTTTAGGAGAGCAGCTCTGGCCAGGGACTTCCGTCTTATGCAGAGCTTCTCAACCTCAGGATGACTGACCTTTGGGGCCAGATAGTTCTTTGTTGTGGGGACTTTTCTATGCATTGATGTTTAGTAGCATTCCTGGCCTCTATCCACTAGACGTCAGTAGCACACCCCAGTCAGGTGACAAACAAAAATGTCTCTAGATGTTGCCAAGTTTCCCCCGATAACCTCTTGTTCAGTGGGCCCTAGAGCCAAAGCCTCTCTCCTACTGGATTAGTAGTAGGGCTATACAATTAGAGGGGCTGAAGTGATGGAATGTGCTTGGATTTTGGTGTTGGGGACCAACCCATTCCCACTACTTAATAGGTATAGATCCTTGGACAAGTCACATATAAGTTAACAAGCTTTAGTCTCATCACCAAGAAGATGAAGACAATAATAACTATTTCACAGGATTGTTTAGAAGAGTAGATGAGATGACGTGTGTATGAAGGGATAAGTGCAGTGATTTGCACACTGTAGCTGCTCAATATATATGTGTTAATTCAGATGCGTTTTCCTTAGCTCTTTGGTGTGGCTTTTTTCTTGACACAAAGGGAGACTCTTCTCTTTGCCGTAAAATGCTTTAAAATGCCCACCTTTTAGTCCAACGTAAATCCCAGGCTTCAGAATCTTGTTCATGGGAGACACATGCAGAACGTTGAGCTGATTATCAATAATCCCCAGTACGAGGTCCATCTCCAGTCAACAGGGGACAGCTGGTCCTAGGTTTGGTTGCATTCAGCCTCTGAACTGGTTGTTCTGGGTATTGCCATAGCCACCTAGAATAAACACTCCCCATGGGGCTGCAGTGGCAGTTCCCATTTACATCAGTCTCTGAAGCTTTAAGAATGAGAACTTGAAGAGCTGAAAATAGTAGGTCTTCATCCTGCTCATGAAGATTCCAGATGGTAATGTCTTCTGAACTTTTTAATAACTGACTCTTCTTCCTTTTCTCTCCCTTCTGATTCTTTTTTTTTTTTTTTTTTATTTGAGGCAGAGTCTCACTCTGTCAGCCAGGTTGGAGTGTAGTGGACGATGTTGGCTCACTGAAACCCCCACCTCCCAGGTTCAAGTGATTCTCATGTGTCAGCCACCTAAGTAGCTGGGACCACAGGCATGAGCCACCACGCCCAGCTAACTTTTTGTATTTTTAGTAGAGATCGGGTTTCACCATGTTGACCAGGCTGGTCTTGAACTCCTGACCTCAGGCGATCCACCTGCCTCGGCCTCCCAGAGTGCTGGGATTATAGGTGTGAGCTACTGCGCCCAGCCTGACTCTTCTCTTTTTACCGAGAGTTGATTTTTGATTTTTTTCTCCTTAAACTTTACCTCTTCCCCTAATACTCTAACTTGTATTTTTATTTTTTATAGATTCCAATCCTGCTCTCTTTGCCCCCGTGCCTTAGCTCTTCTCCTTATCGTTATCTGCTGTACTTCTCAATGTCTTTCTCTTAACTTCTCCTTATGTATCTAGTATTTATTTACTTAAAAATTATGCTCCCTAATTCATAATTTTCAAAGCAGAAGACTTAAACATTAATTTTTAAATTTTAATCACCTTTTAATGATATTTAATTTTTTTTAATTTTCTGGATCCAACACCTAAGTAGATAAATTTCTAGCATTCTGCCACATTTTCCCAACTTCAATTCTTTCCCTTACCACTCTCTAAAGGAAATCTGTTGGAATTGTTTTAAGTTTTTCTTAGCAGCTGATTTAGACAGAGCTGGGGGATTAACGTGAAAGTATGTGAAAAATACTGTGTATTTAGATAGCACAGTTGTTTCAAGAATCTCTGGAGAGCTTGGTTACTCTTAACAAGAATAGAAATGGAATCATTAACCCTCACCTCAGCTAAATTCCTGCTAAAAGAGAAACAGTTAACACACCCCAAAACAAATACCTCTTCTTTCCACTTCCTCATTCTCTTTGCTCCCTCTGAAGCAAACATTTCGGGACCCTTTGTCCCTTTGACAATTGTCCTGCTGCTGCTGGTGGGGTGGTGTTGGAAACGGAGGATCGATCATTATTTTGGACAGAAAACCACCTTTTGCACACAGTAGGCACTCATTATGGCATTGACTGGATGCCACAATGCAGTTGCCCCATAGCTGGGGGTGGAATTTGTAACAACACCCTGTGATTTCATCCTTAGTACCTTGTATAACATGTATACACACACCAAATAAACACAACACAGAAGGACTTCAAAGACGCACCGGCTTTGCTGTTTTCATACCTTGATCAAACAAGGATAAAAAATCATCCAGGGCAATGGTTTAGTAAAGTTTGCTCTGGAAAGTGCCCACCAGTTTCTTAGGAAATTTTACTGGTCTGGGCGAAGCCCAGGACTTGGGAATTTTCATGGAGGCACCCCCAAACCTTATAGGAGAAGAAATCCAATACACAGTCAACTGAACAGGCGCATGTAGATAAATGCCTACTCAGTTTCTGCAACTCAGGCTAGATCCCTTCATTTGTGAGGACTTCCTTATTGCCCAGAGGAGATCGGCTTGCTTCCTTCTCTTTGATCTCACAGCACTTGGTGTGCATCTTATTTATTGCTTTTCATATGCTACATTGCAATGATGCCTTCTCTCATCTCTCCCAGTTACTTGAGGGCAGAGACAAAACACTTCCTTCTTTTCTGTATCTATACACAGTTTAGCATAGAGCCAGGCCCAGGCAAAGACTGATATACGAATACCCCTGGGAGAGCCAAATTCCATCCACTGTCTGTTTTTGTCAATAAAGTTTTGTAGGAACACAGCCATACTCACTGGTTGATATACTGTCTATAGCCGCTTTCAGGCTACAATGGCAAAGTTGGGTAGTTGCTACACAGCCTGTATTGCCTCAAACCGAAATGATTCACTCTCTGGCACTTTACAGAAAAGGCTGGCCAATCCCTGCACAAGCACACACAGCCAGTTTGAAAGAGTCAACCAAAATGTTGCCTCAGGAATGTTAACAAGAACTAGGGAGGCCAGAGTATCATTGAAACAAGAGTCTATTCTGTCTTCTCTCGTAAAGACTTTATCTTTTGCTTTAAAGCCTGCAACTCACCTCACTATTTTTTTTTCTGCATTTGGTTTTTGTCATTGTTTTTCTCCCATTTGGGGGTGTTTCTTTAATATATATTTTTTATTTTCAGTAATGGAATGTGATTCATCCATTAAATATTATCTTTCTGAAGCATGTTATATATCATAGTAAGTAATACTAATAACATCAAGTGCAAATTCACATACAGTCTAATCCCAGCCAAAGTTTTTAAAAGGCAGTGTTCAGGGAGAAGGAAGAAACATACAACAATAACATGAATAATTGCTTCTAGCTATCTAGGCTTGGGCGAGTTTTATTCATTTTTTTATACTTTCTTATATTTACAATAATAATGAATCTAATCTGCCAAGCATCTCTGATAAAAGCAGTTCTGATTTCAGTGCTCCTGTTATTACACAGACACTGTCTCTACTAGGGCATCTCACATTGCTAAATGTTAGACTCACTCATAAATCCTACCTATGATTCATCTCTATCACATCTGTGAAACTGCTTTGGATAAAAGTCATTGTGTAAATGGAAAACATTATCTTTTTTTTTTTTTTTTTGCAATCTTGTAACAAAATTTAAAAATCAGGTTATCCTCTAAGTCTAATTTGCGATTTTAATTCTACTTATTAGGTTGATTCATAAAGATGGATTTCACTGTTTCAGCTGCTTTCTTTAATTAGCTCCTTTCTAATGCAGACATCTAAATTCTGCCAGAGGGTAAAAGAGAAAGTAGCATATACGGTTTCGGTGTGGTGGAAAGACATAGTGGCACAATGCCTTCGAAGGTGGGCTCCACCTTTGCTGCCTCCTAGATGTGACCTTGGGTCAGTCATTTCAGCTTTCAGAGACTCCGTTTCCTCATCTGCAAAATGGGATTACTAATAACCTACTGGGTTACTGGAAGAATTAAAGAAAGCAGTTTTACATAAGTGCTGGATTAAGAGGTTTTTTTATCAAAAAAGAATGCCTTTAAAACTAGTGAAAGTGTTTGCTATAGAAGGAAATGCAATGTGCTTCCAGTGGAAGAACCCAGAAGGAAATGATACTTCCTGTCTCTCTGAGTCAGAAGCAGGAAGAATCTTCCTTCACATGATCTTCTATTATATACTGTAATTTATTTGAAAGAACACGGAAAGATGAGTCAGGGAACCCAGGTCCAGCTTTACCTCTAATTTGCTGTGCAATCTTAAGTAAATCATATTCCCTCTCTGGGCCTGTTTGCTCATTTGTAACATGAGGGCTGTAATTTCTAATATGAAAATTCCATGGATTCAAAAGATTGCAGAAGTGTGTCATATTGACTAAATAAACCAATGAAGTTTTTTTTTTTAAAGTCACTTTGAAAAGGAAAACATTCAACACAGGTATAGTGTTTTACAGCTTACCACATACTTTCATGATCCTCAGAATAGCCCTGGGAGCTCAGAAAGACAAGTATTATGATCTCACGCAACAGAGAAGGAAAACAGGGCCATGATCAGATAGCTAGCAAGTGATTGAACCTGCATATGTACCCAGGGCTGCCTGAAACCAAACTTTGCAAACTTTCTAGTCTACCAGGAAGAATACATTTCAATGTTCTGGTTGTTTACCTTGAACACCTTAAGTTTCCAGTGAATCTCTAATTAAATTACCCATATATTTTCTGTTTGATTATAGGTCTTCCTTGCTCTGCTGTAAGATTTACCAGCATGGGAAATTCATTTGCACAGGGCCATCTTTACAGTGTTCACGGTCTAGATTTTCATTGAAGGAGAGTCCCCAGTTGGGAAACACTCCTACAGAGGGAAGCCAGTAACATCAGGAGAAGGCAAGCTCGGAGTTTTCTAAGAAGCTCCGTTGCGGCCAAGCCTTTTCATTTCATGACCTCAGCCGAAAGCTGGAGGAAAACAACCCCAAACACAGCTCAAACTGGGTCTGCACACAGGAAGGCAATTGCTCTAGTAGGAGGTAAAACCGGACTGGTACTTTAGGTGCAGGGTAACTGGGACAAATCACATACATCCTTGGAGTGTACGTGTCTTTGTGGGCAAATGTGTAGGGTAAAATGCCTAACAAATTTACTGTTTTCAACTTAATAGGCTCAGGTGTCCTCTCCTCTAGGAAATCTTCCCTGGTTCCCCCACACAGGATCACAAATCATCCCCTTTGCTCCCA
The DNA here is from genome assembly GCF_000001405.40 of Homo sapiens. Classification (NCBI taxonomy): domain Eukaryota; kingdom Metazoa; phylum Chordata; class Mammalia; order Primates; family Hominidae; genus Homo; species Homo sapiens. The sequence continues at coordinate 108,055,236 of NC_000009.12, read as the reverse complement.
AGTCAAAGCGTTTGTCTTTTGTAGTATCTACTTATCACATGTAAGATTATTATTCTATGTTTACTTATCTATCTTTCCCAGTTGACTGTGAGCTTCTTGAAGATAACAATGACATGATTTTTTTCTGTATATATGTAAATATTTCTTATTTTTCTGTCTAAGCTATTCAAGTCTCCTAGAGTATTGAGACATTGTGTTTGCAATATTTTACTCTGGCAATATCTTCACAATGGCTCTAAGACTTTTCAGGCCCTCCCTTCAACCCTGTGTTTCTCTGAGCCTCCATCCTCTTGCCTCAGTACTCATTTCACCTTAGCCACGCTGGATTTCTTGTTGCTGTTTTGACACACAGCACATTCCTGACTTGCCCCTTTGAGGCATACTGTCCCTCACTCTTCCTGGATGCCCCCTAGAAACCTCTAGGCTGACCTCATCACCTCCTCCATGCCTTGCTTGGATCTCCCAATCTTGATGAAGCCCAACATCTCCACCCATTTTGTTGTGTTTCCTGCCTCCCCAGGTAGCCCTTGGCACTCCTAACACTCCTTCCCATGCTTAGCTTTCTTCTTTTCCATAGCACAGTCCATGTTAACCTATGATGTATCATTGTGGCTTTTATTTTGTGTCTGTATCTCCTTCTAGAATGTGACCTTCATGAGAAAAGGGAATCTTTGTCTTGCCTGCTGGAACAAAATACATCCCTAGAAAAGTGTCAGGCACATAGTAAATGCTCACACAGAGTTTTGCACTGATTTAAATCTACTGATTTTTTTTTTCTACTTGAGCTATTTAAGTCCCCCATGAGAATCAGGCTGAGCTCTTCCAATATTTTGGACCTAAACATTCCAGCTGATCACTCTCTCTCTCCTGGTCTTTGTGCAGACATGACCTTAATGATGTCGAGCCCCATGGCAAAGCTTTGCCCACAGGAAGCGAAGAGCCCCTTAATAAAGCAGATTTCCTTTTGCTATTCAACAGCAAGGGCTTTGGGCTGTTTAAAAAAAAAAATTGTGTTTCTCCTTATCAAATAGTTCCAAAACTGAATTTTCGAAATGGGTGAAGACCTCCTAGACACCCTGAAGATGGGATGAACTCCCCTTATTTGTCAGAGAGTGCTGGGCTGGAGCAGGGACCCCTTTCTGTGTGCTCGTCTTCCTCATTTCCATTGTCTTTCCACCTCTACGAGTCGTTAACTGTATTAATCACAACTAAAACAAAGCTAATAATTGCTTCTTGGAACGTTGTGTAACACCATGGAACGCTGCCACGGGCCTCTGAGAATCGGCCTCTAACTGCTCGGAGTGATTTCTCAGGGATTTTAACTCAGCCCGTCTTTAAGCTGAATGTTTATCATTTTCCTTTTTATTGTTTCTGGCTCCTCCCCTGCCTTTGAAGTTTCTGAAATCTTTAAGCATTTGGCTAGTCTCTATACACCGCAGGTCTTCTCCCTCAAAGAGGGCACCTGGCCAGGAGAAAGGAACTGGAGCTCCTCTCTTGGCTGGGCCTATAAAACAATCAGATTGCTCTGCAGCCTGCCATTTGAAACGTGAGCTGTGCTGAAAGTACAGATAATGCAGCGTGTTCCAAGGAGATTAGAATATCCCAGTGGGATTTCGGGTGAATGGAGAGGGAGAATAGCTCAAGTCCTCCACACACCATTTAACCCTCTCTTCTCCAGGCTGCGTTGTCTAGGAGGGTAGGTCAAGGGCACAGATCTGCTCCCCTCTTTTCCATAACCACCCTGACTTGTGAAAATAAGGGGTTTACAGCTAAGAGGTTTCCATGAAACTGTTGATTATTCTCCTCTGCTCCATTTGGTAACTTCTGTCGATAGTTAGCTTTGAGCATCCCAGATCCCATGGCTTCCCTCAGAGGAGGAATATCCTTGTCGTTCTACTCCAAAGTAGGCACAGATTTATTTTCTGCCTCTTGCTCCTTCCAGAATTTTCAGCTCTTTTGACAATTTCCAAGACAAGGGATGAGTTCCAGCCACCATGTCATGAGGAGACCCTGGATACCCCAGCTCAGAGCCTAGAGTGAGTATTTGCATTGAAGAGGAAACGTCGTATATTTGAAATGTAAGTTTCATGAATAAGATCTGGGCCCAAATTGGCTTTAGTCATTCAAAGACCCAGTCAAACTCAGGAAGTTAAAAAAGTTGAGGTGGCTGGTTTCACCTGGCTCCAGTGTCCATTCTTCTCACTTTCTCTGCATGTGTTTGTTACCCTTTCTTCATCATCGATGGAGCTCAAACTCAGTCTCACATGGGAGCAGCAGCACCAAGATAAAATTTGTGTATCCTACAGGAATAACACAGCAGGCAAGCCTGCAGGATAGAGCCAGGTGAGGCAAGTGGTGGTGGAGCTCAGAGTGTCACGTAATTAAGTGTTGTTGCAAGGACTGGAGGGGAAGATGGGGTAATAGATGTCTGCCTGGAGTGAAGACATGGCAGGGCCAAGCCTGCCTGCGATGTGTCCCAAACCTCCAATGATCCCCAACCCTGTGCAATAAAAGCCGGGTAGACCAGGCAACTGACGAAACCCCAGCTCCTGATGAAAGAGGGAATTGTTTTCTTCTGCCTTCCTGCTGAGTTGTAGGATTCGGAACCTTTGTCTTATCCAGCTTAAATCCCTGTCACTCCTTAGCAGGGACTCAGGAGGAGGAGTTATGAGGAATGTGGTAAATGATGATGCGTATTCCCTTGTGGGGAAAAGCAGCAAATGCCACAGTGTCCCTGCCATGCTCATGCTCTCCTTAGTTATGGAATTGCTGATTCCTGGGAGTTGAAAGGATCACCTAGGTTATTCCCTCTCACTCAGTTGATGTTGGAATCCCAGCTACAAGGTGCCTCACAAGAGCCCCTCCCATCCCATCCCTCTTTGGATGTTTCCACTGATGGCGAGTCTCCAATCCCTGGAGGCAGCCCAGCCTAATAATAAGCCTGCATCTATTTATTTATTTTTTTGGGTTATTAGAAATGTGTGGTAATGTGGTCTAAATGAATATTGAATTGATAGCCATCTCTTGAAAAATAGCAGAATGTCATGTCCCCATTATTTCCTAGGAATTCTCAGGGAAAATGTGTGTATTCTCCACATTCGTGAAGGTGGCCACTTGTAATAACCACCTCCAGCTGCCAAGGCTTGAAACAGTAGCTGCTATAGAGGTCGCAGGACACTTTGCATTCCCCAACCCTAAGCAACAGCAGGCTGCCGGCTCCCACACTCTCTCCCTCTCCCTTGATTCATGATGAGTTGAGTTAAAAGAGCACCATCTTCTTCATGGCACCTAGCAGGGCTGTGGATGGTCTTAACATTGACAGGCTGCAACCCATCCTAGGGATCCCTGCTTTGCTCCCCTCATGGGGATGGAAAGAATCAACTTTATCCCTTCAGAGGGAACTAAGGTCTCCTTATCCAACAAGCCCCCTTCATGCCATGGAAGGAGGCTCAGAATAATGAAGTTGCACACACGCGCGCACACACACACACACCCCATTTCAATATGAAGCATTTGGATTAATGCACTGCCTTTGGTCAGTTTCCTGAGAAGCCCTCGAGATGATAATTCAAGTGCAAGTGATTTATTAGGGGAGAGTTCCCAGGACGGCCTAGCAGAGGAGCTCAGGAAGCAGGAAAGGAAAGGGGAAGACATCAAGCAAGGTACAATCTCAGTCAGTCAGTGTGCAGCCTCAGTCTGATCCCACAGGGAGTCTATAGAGAGGAAATTACACCTTAGAGTTCATTCAGACTCGAGGCAAGGTGGCTAAGGGTTCATATTCTTTATTACAGTCCATCACTGGCATGGGCCACTCCAGCAGGTTGCAAACTCGGGTGCTTCCAGCTCTCTGAGCTCCTGGGCAAAGTGGCTCTAGTAGTCCAAGGGCACTGCCTGTTAGATACAAAGGCACCCAGAAGCCAGGGAAGGGATACACAGAAATGTAAAAGGGATCTGAGAGGATCTGGCCAGAGCATCAACATGTCCACTCATTCACTTGTGTCATCCCCAAACAATGGGTTTTATTGGCCCAGACGTGATGTACTTCTAACATAACTTACTTGGTATCTGTATAGTAAGAAACAGTCAACAATCTTTTAATAAACTCTGGGGTAGGGTGGGACTGGGAAGGTTCTGCCTCATGCCACACCCCAGTGCATAATCCAGTCTAAGTCCTCCAGTCTAAGTCCACACTGGCTGTTTGGTATACATTCACATTTCGATGGACACTGTTCAAGTAAATTCTTGAAGCCACTTTATAGTGGCTGCTGCAAAGTCTTGTTTGCTGCGCCTCTGTCGGCATATGAGCTTGGTCACATCCCCTCCACTAGAATTTTCTATCCAGCTGCCCATCAAGACTAGTCAAATCAATCACCTCCCAAAAGATGATAAAGATTTTTATAAGCAAGTCTGGAGCACGTCTCTCCGTTCTGCAGATGATGGCATCTCTTGGAAGGTAGATATTATATGCAAAATCACCCACATAAAACTCCTCTGCAAACACAAATCCAAACCCAAATAAAGCTGCTCTTACTTCCCTTTACAGTAAACAATCCAAAATCTATAGGACTATCAAATCAGGTCTTTATCTTTGTGGGTGTGCTTGCATTTAATTTTCTACTAATAACTACAAGACCCCTGGTGCTCCATCATTTTATGCCCAGGAACCTATAACATGGCAAGGAAATCTCAAGACATTGCCATTTCAATTTTATCCAAGTTTTAATGGCCCAGCATTAGGTCCTGTTTATTTTCTCTCGCTTTTTTTCCTCCCTGGAGTAAACAAAAGCATATGTTCCTTTCACCTTCTCCCTGTAACACCTAAAAAGGCAGGCAAGAGAAAACCCCAGGGAACATCACTCTTAAGTCAAACCAGCCCACACAAGTTGGACTCTCATGTCTGTTTAAAAGAGTTTATCCTGTTTCCTCTGACACCCCTTCTAATCTCTGGCACACAGTGGTAGGCATTCAGTAAGACTGGGCTCCTGGGTCCTTCCTCTTTCCCCTTCAGTAACTCAGGTTCTACCAAATTTCCTCTTCCACATTCTCTATCAGCCCTCGTCTCTTGCCTTCAGAACTTGTTTCTCTGTTTATCTATCTGGTTGTCCACTGCTCCCATGGAGACAAACGAATGAATGAGACTATATTTTCGAGCACTTACTATGTACTGGGAACCTTCTACCTATCACCTTATTTTAATCCTCACACATTCTCCTGTAAAGTATCATTATTTTCCCATGAAAGCTAAGGTACAGAGAAGGTCAGTGACTTTTCCTAGATCAAGTAGCCAGGAGAGAAGTAGGATGTGACATGGAAACCAAGTTTGGCTGAATCTAAGTGTAATAATTTCTGACCCCTGCAGTTTCCATTTTCTAGACTATGCTTTGGGTCTTCAACTTCCACGCCAACACCAGAGGATAAGTATTTGAGACCCCCACATTGGTCATCCAACTATGAAAAAATTCTCATTTTAAGCATATACAGCTTAAAAAAAGAATCAACTTCATGTATTTGGAAAACCGTAAGTGCCATCTTCCATCATTCAAAAATGTCTGTAACAGACCAGCATTATTGACAGTTCTGAGCTAGACCGAAGGAACTCTTTTCTATGACTTCAACAGAAATATTTTGTTATTACAATGTTTGCAAACATTTTTAAGGTATTGTTCAGTCAAATGATAGTCCCTATAGCTTGCAACTCAAAATATCATGGTGGTGAAATACTCATTAGTCACCTGCTATAACTTCAATGGAATGTGCTAGGACACGGAGTTTGTAAAAGCAGATATTGTCTTGTTAAGCTGTCAGGTCCCATAATGTACAGCCTCACGCAAGGACACTGTCATCAGGAAAAAGGCTTAGATTATGTGCTCCAAGTACACCAAGAAACTGGTTTCTGGAAACCCGACTTTTCAATGAACGCTTGTTAAAGCAGAGTTAATGTGTTTCCTACTGTTATAACAATGACGTGTGAGTCACATATGTGGTTTCGAGATTCCTAAACTGGATCTGCCTGGCTGCTGATGTAATCAGAAATAACCTCTGGCTGTTTGAGACTATAATATTCTGGAGGAAAACTGCCCAGCTGATGCAACTGCTGATTTTTGTTAACGCTATCACCAACATTCCCAGCATTCAAAATTCTTTAAGATATTATTATTCATTAATACTTTGTTTTAGATATTATTATTCATTAATACTTTGTTTTCATTTGGAAAATTTATTTACTATCAAAGCAAAATATTTTTGGGATTCAGCCTGTAAATTTATCTTAATTCTCACTGTCCTCACTGTCTGAAGGTCCTTTGTTATTGGGGAAAAGAATGTGGGGTTAGGTGTCAGGCAGATTTGCACTTGAATTTCAGCTCTGTCACTTACCTGTGTGATTTCAGAGAGGTTACTGAACCTCTCTGAGCCTTGAGTTTCTAATTTGGAAAAACAGGAAATTATTCCTATCTCACAATGTTCTGAAAATAAAGTTAGACATAGAGCAGCATTTGGAAAAACAAGAGAGTACAACATAGACAACCAGGTATTTGGACCTAGGCTTGCCTCTAGGGAGCCTGGCTTGATGAATCTGCTGGGTTTTGAGCCCTGTGGGCCCTCCAGCTGGGCTGTCCTCCCCAAGCCCTAAACAAGGGATTCATTCAAACTCCCTAGGTCTTCACAGAAAGCAAGAGAAAAATGATGAGAGGAGGTTGTTGAGCCAGTTGCTTGCAAGAGCAGTCTTTCCTATGGGATGCCATCAGTCAGTTGTTAAGTTTACAAAGCAGCAGGAATATGTAACTGAGAATTTTGACTTTCAAAATTTCTATGAGCAGCCTCTTGGTATCAGAACAAGAAGATGGCAGTTGTGAAAGGAAGAAGATCATGAAAATGCTGCAATTTCAGAGGGGCAGAGATCAGGGCAGAAAAAGAAATCATAAGCTTCCTGACACCTGAGGCTGATTCGTTAAGCAGGAAAGAGGAGGATGCTTACAAGGTGTTTCAACCACCAGGGACCCAAAAGGTGGGAGTGTAAATTAGTTCAACCATTGTGGAAGACAGTGTGGTGATTCCTCAAGGATCTAGAACTAGAAATACCATTTGACCCAGCAATCCCATTACTGGGTATATACCCAAAGGATCATAAATCATCCTACTATAAAGACACATACACACGTATGTTTATTGCAGCACTATTCACAATAGCAAAGACTTGGAACCAACCCAAATGCCCATCAATGATAGACTGGATAAAGAAAGTGTGGCACATATACACCATGGAATACTATGCAGCCATAAAAAATAATGAGTTCATGTCCTTTGCAGGGACATGGATGAAGCTGGAAACCATCATTCTCACTAAACTAACACAAGGACAGAAAACCAAACAAACACTGCATATTCTCACTCATAAGTGGGAGTTGAACAATGAGAACACATGGACACAGGGAGTGGAACATCACACACTGGGGCCTGTCAGGGGGTGGGGGGCTAGGGGAGGGATAGCATTAAGAGAAATACCTAATGTAGATGACAGGTTGATGGTTACAGCAAACCACCATGACACACGCATACCTATACATGCATACCTATGTAACAAAAACTGGACGTTCTGCACATGTACCCCAGAACTTAAAGTATAATAAAAAAGAAAGAAGCACAAAGGATTTGCTCTGAGGACCACACCACAGTACCTGTGTCCTTAGTCACCTTCCAGTTAGAAAGCATTTCCATATATACCATGCATTTTCAGCCTCGCCCCACACTATGAGTCAGGAATCCCATTTTGAGAGATGAAAAACTACAGGCACAGAAACCCTGGATGACCTAAAAATTCTCTGTGAAATCACGCTAGATAAATAGCCACATGTTGCTGCAGTGCGGTAAGTGTCCTTTGGTTTAGACTTCTTTCTTAATTGCATCATGAAATTGAATTATATCCCGAAGACCTGGGAAAGAGCAGAAGATGTTATGCAGTTTATAAAGTCTTTTCATGTTTTTGGTGTGTTCCATTCCAAAGGAAGCAAAAGGAAAATTTGAAATGCTGACTTTAATAGTGAAACTCCATGTTGTGGATTCACTATGTTCTTAAGTTTATTTTTTAAAAGAAGAAGAAAAATCTTTAAGGAATAGTAAGCATCTTTATCTTATCAAAATCTGATATCCAAATGAGAAATTGCTTCCTCTTTCTAAAAATAATAAGCACTTACTATATTCTGGACAGTATAAACACTTTGCAATCATTATCCCCTCAACTCAATGGAGTGGGTATTATTACTATCCTTTTATTAGAGATGTAGAATAGGAGACTGAGAGAATTTTTAAGTGACTAGCCTAAGAACAGTCAGCTTCTATGTGGTAGACCCAGGATCTGAACACATTCTGATGCCAAAGCATGTTTCTCTTATTCCTAATTGCAACCCTACACAAACTGTACTGGCAGAGCATACACATTTTTTCACGGAATTATGAAAAAAAAAAGCCTCATGAGGTAAGAAATACCACTTTAAATTTTCAGATAAGAAAACTGACTACATGATTTCTCTATTTCATGCAAGTAGACAGGTGAAGATTCAGAATAGCTCTAAGGCTGAAACTGGAACCCAGAACCCTTGAGTCTAGAACAACCTAAATCGGTTCCTTCTTTGTATCTGGCATTGTGAGTCCTCATGAGAAAAAAATTGGGGGTTAGTGCAAAATTTATTTCTCCATAAGCAAGCAACTGTTAAGTTGTACAGAGATTTACATACAACAACTGGGACCATCCCACTTACTGCCCAAATACTCATTCGCTCAATTGCCAACTAACATTTATTGAGTACCAAGTATATACAAGGCATTGTCAAGTCTTGGAGTACAGAATAAGCAAAGAAAGAGTAAAAGATGTCTGTAACCTTCATGGTACTTATTGGGTCCCCCAATGCCTTCTTCACCAGGCACACTTTCCCAATATTGATGGAAAAAGAAATCTATTGTTAAATCTCAGTGATTTTCTTTGAACTTTTTTCCTGAAATCCCCATTGCCTTTGGCATAATCTGGCTACTTCCTGGGTTCTACCAAGCTTTGGCCCAATGAGGGTGACTTCGGTGACTCTTTAACAAATACCTTAGACACCCCCTCATTTACTAGCCTGGATTAACAAACAGCTTGTCCTGAGCAACTCTGGATGTAGCCAATACCATGCAGTGACCTCAGAGCACAAACATCTGCCTCAATGTTATCCTGAGGGCAGACATCTGCTCAGGGAGTTTTTCTGGACTTTTCTTGAGATGGCTTGATCTCTACTGGGAGATCACCTTCTGGGTTCTATGGATGGACTATATATTCCAATATGTCTGCTGTCTGGAAGCTGTCAAAGATAGATTCCTTGGAGTGGTGATGAAAGTGCCTTGTTTGTTTGGCTTCCCTGAATGCAGAGGACTGGAAAGAAGCAATCTTATAGGATGATTGGCCATTAGCGGTTTCCAGTTGACTTTGCCAGACCCAGAAGAGCTATGTCTGACCTAACCTCTGCTTCAAGGAGACTACACACAAATATAAATAATCAGTTTCCAAGGCTAGTGTCCACCTCGTGGTATCCTGGTCCCCTCTGCGTTGTAATGTATACCTCAGTATCTTAGTAACTGCTGAAGAGAGACGCTTGGTTGAGACGACCAGTATAGATTGCAGTCTCAGTAAAAGGCAGGGTCCATGTGTGCACATCTTTTTACAGTTAACAAGATCCTGCTATTTCTAATACTTCACTCAGTACTCATGATAATATCAAAAGGCAAATTTTGTTATTCTCAGGTCACAGATGAAGAAACTAATGTACAAAGCTAGTGGCAGAACTGGGACTAAACACTGGGTCTAACAACTACCAAATAATTCTCCATCTTCTACTTTATCATAAGATGAAATGATTATTATAATAGGAAGGACTTCCTTGAAATTTTATATACATACATATATATATAGCATCTAGCCCTGTGCATTACATAAAGTAGTCCCTTAGTAAGGAATAGCTTTTTTTTTTTTTTTAATGTAAGGCAGCACAGTATAATTGTTCAGCCATGAGAAAGGAGGTTAACTTGAGATAACATCCAGTTACTCAGACCAGGTACTTAGTCTCTTCGGATATTCATTTTCTTATCTAAAAATGGGATAATGATTAAAAACTTTCTAAGGTTAGCATGAGAATTGTATAGCTAGAAGACAGGAATTTGCTCCCTACGACTGAGGTGCAACTTTTGTAAGATAGAGTGGGAGGGAACACTCACCTCCTTTCTAGGCTGCATACAAAGACCCAGGATACTTCCATGGCACCTGAAAAATGGAAGAGTATACTCTATTTTTAAATCCACAGCTATTCACTGAGATGTAAAATGAAAATGTTTCCATTCACAAACACAGAACTCTGCCATCACGCTAAGGCTTTTTTTTGCAAATATCCTAAGGCTTTGCCTCTCAGTGATCAATTTCATGGCACCATGGACCACCCCATCAAAGACCCTGGCACTCCTCAGGTGCTGTGTGAGTTCCTGGCACTGGTGGGACCTGCCACAGCATGCTCCCCCACCCTAGGCTCTAGGATGATAACCTTCACTTACCTTGCAATCTCAGTAGAAGGCAGTGTTCGTGTGTGCACATGTAGGGCCAGTTCTGCCTCCTTCTCCACTTCATATGCCAGCTTCCCTCAATATCTCAATACATTCTTCAAACAAAGGCCTGAGAGTGGGAGTAGATAAGGGCATTTTTGTTAGATGTCTTCTCTTTTCAGGGCTGCAACACAAAAGCCTCTAATAATGCCCTCAGGGAAAAAGAACATATATTCCATACACATTTTTTCCAACCTTCTATCAATCATATAGAAAACACTAATTAATATTCCAATAAGTTGTCCTGCCAAAGAGGAGGAGGAGGAGGAGAACTAATATATGTAAAGTGTCAAGTATAGTATCATATGGCATACCATAAACACTTAACTACTGTATTATTGTAGTTTTCTTGGTTGTATAACTACTGTATACAATTGCAGAACTACTGTATTATTGTATAACTGCTGTATTATTGTATAACTACCGTATAACTACTGTATTATTGTAGTTTGTATAACTACTGTATTATTGTAGTTTTATTTTACTGAGACTGCCCTGTGATGCTTTAGTACTTCCTTTCAATGCTTTGCCAAAATAGGGCAGGACCTTAAAATGAGAAACTGTGATATAAGCACTTTGTCACATGAACAATTATCAGGCTCTCTAAAATAAGTAAAAATTAGATCCTGAAGCCTCATCTAGGCCTTTCCTTGTTTACCTACTTTTTAAATGTAGTTTGGCTTGGTCCAAGAAAGGGAATTTGTCATATATTGATGTGGGGCAATATCATTTGTGCAAGTATCATAAATGTAATGGTAGCAGTTCCAAACCAGAAGTATCTTAAAAGAATAATGCACTATGACTAAGCAGGATTCATTCCAGAAATGCAAGGATGGTTCAATACTGAAAATGTTGATAACTGCATTACATCATTTCATTAAGTGATTAACAGAGCAAAAAACAGATAACAATAAATTTACTATACTGTCTGGATTCAACTAGAAATAGTAGAGAAGGAATAGAGCAATAGTTTTGACATGGTAAAGAATATCTGAAGTCAATTTCGAACAAACACCAGGTTCATTACCACTAAATTTGAGAACAAGATACAGATGTCCACTATCACCTATTATTATTTAACATTATTTAGGATGTTTGTTTAAGTCAGAAAAATAAAGTAAAAAGCAATATAACTATTCAAAAAGGGAGATTTAAAAATTAATCATTATTTTCTGTTTCTTAACCCTGAAAAAACAAACAAACAAAAATCTTCCTTGAGTTTAGAATGGCTAATGGTTACAAATAAATACATACAAATCAATGTATTCTCTATAAAACTGCAGTATGTAATGGAAATGTTAATAGAAAATAGAGTAAATTTATTGTATTAATCAAATGATGTAACATCTAAAAATAAATATATAAAAAATAACTTAAAATTTGTACAGACGTATATGCAAAAACTATAACTAACTATATAACTCTTAGAAGAGAAGATAGGAGTAAATTTTTATGACCTTTGGTTAAGCAAATCTTTCTTATCTGGGACAGCAAAAAAAAAACCAATGTTTTGTTTTTTGAAACACTGAAAAAAAAAATGGATAAATTGAATTCCAGACCACAGAACTGGATAAAATGTGGTGGCAAGAGATAACCCTTCTAAATGTGAGGGCAAAGTTGGGACATTAGTAGATCCAGAATTCGAGAAGATCACTCTGGCTTCCATGTTGGAAGTTGTATTGGAGCTGGGAGCTTTTAACAGGGGGAAAAGCTGGGAGTATGGGATTAGTTTATGGCTGATGACAGGTAGAGCCAAACAAGAACAGAGATGGGGTTGGTCGAGCCTCATGCTTTAGAGAAATAAAGGAGAATGCACCTGTCAATAGAGCCATGGTTTGGGCAACTAGGCCATTATGGGAACATGTCAAAAACATACATAGAGTGGTAGATGATTGATAGACTACAATGGAAATTTGATTAAAGTGTTCCAAACACCCTCTTTAAGTAAAAGGTTCACCCTGAAGTCCTTCTCTGATCTTTGCTGAAACAATTAGACAAGATTTAAAGTTTCTTTATAAACCAGAAGGGCTATTGGACAGTGTGACTCCATAGAACAATGCCCTTTGGACATACAAGGCCAAGCTCTGACACTCACAAATATCATGGGTGTGTGCGAGTTACTTAACAAACCTGAGCATTAGTTTCCATTTCACTAAAACAGAAATAGTAATCTTTCCCATGTAGGACTACAGTGTACATGGGAAGGGCCTGGCTCAGACCATGCAGCCAATAAATGCAGATTCTCCTCTCTTTCTCTCTTCAGTGATGCATCCCAGCCTTCAACCCACTAATGATTCTCCCTGTGGGTTTCTACATGTGCTCTCTACAGTTGAAATTTGCTGCTTTGTTATTTTTCTTAGGGAATATATAAAGAAACCATCATGGCCTTTTCCCAATCTATTGTTTTATAACTCCATAATCTTCATCTGTACCTCTTCTCTGATATTTCATCTTATTTAATTATATATTTAGCAAACCTAATCCTGCTTCCCAATGATACTTGCATGAGCTCAGAGGCATTGCTAAAATAAGACCCCCTGCTACCAGCAGTGCCAGTCAGTAGGTGACACTACTGACTACTTTCCTCTCCTCTCGAAGTGGCTTCAATGATGGATGACATGCTCAGTGCTCAAGACTCAGCTCCACTTTCAGAGTCTGCCTGTCCATCACTGTCTGTCCCCCGAGGATGAGCAGCAGATGACCAAGGGTGGCTTCCTACCTGATGCCAGCTAGTGTTGTGAATGGACCTCTTAGTTTGAGAAGGAACCAGGTTGGGCACAGAATGATTTTTGGCAGACAACAAGGAGGATGAGTCAAGGCAGAAAGCAGAACTGAGCCATGGTGAACTTTAGTCACCAGAATGGCATTTGCCATTCAACAAACATTTATCAAGCTGTGCTGTGGACTGCTAATTTCTCACACATCATCTCACCAACTCCTCAGTTACCCCATGAACAGGCATTAGCCCCTTGTTTTACAGATGAGAAAGCAGACACAGACATGTTAGGTAACCTTCTGTTAGGCCTCAGCTCCTAATTGCTAAATTATCCTTCAGATAAGGAGTTGTTTCTTCCAAGTCCCAGATACTCTGCATCAACATGAAATGTGTTTGCCCTGGAAGTGTGTTCATGAATCCTGTCTACGATTACCTGAGAAGGTCTCAGGTTGAAGAGGATAAGATTTCAAATCCTAGAGTTATACTTTTCTTAGGACAACGTGTCCACCTTCCCCCACCCTAAAACACACATTCCCCAGCTCTACATGTTTATTCCTAAATTCTGCAGTGATTTACTGAACACCTCCCATGTGCCTGGCATCATGCTTAGTTCCACTAATACAGAGAAAACCAAAGACTGGGACAGGGTCTTTGCCAACACAATAGCTTCGAGTCAAGCAGAGAATATATCTAACCTGTGTCTGTACAAAAAGTGAGACTGCAGCTGTCAGCTCCTACTTTCCCCAGGCCAAATCTCCAGCAACCCACAAGGCCTTCAGCTTACAAGTCCAGCCCTACCCTGCCTTACCTGAATCAATGCAGCAGTGTGGTACATAATTTAGAAGCATAGTCCAATACCGTCTCCTCTCTGAGAGCAGTCATGTGCTGGTCACTGCTACTGTGTCTGTTGTCTGGTGAGTCAGCTCTCTGCCCCTGGGCTGCTACAGAACACCTCCATCTAGGACAAGATGTACTCATTGATACCCCAGCCTCCCCCTCACTCCTGACACAAGTCTCATTTCCTGCTTTGACAAGTGCCTGGTCTGACACCTTAGGTTTCTTGGCTGGGGTCTTGAGGACCTATCTCTTTCAAATTGCCTTCTTCCAGAGGGCCCATTCTCAGCCCTATGCCCTTCTGTTAATAAATGAAGCTGTTTTCTAAACCCGACAAGACCAGAATCAACCATGCAGACTGAAGGAATGAAGACATGTGGCCCATGGCTCTCCTCTTCAGAGCAGCTTCCTGTAGGTCTTTTTTTTTTTTTTTTTTGGCAATTTTATAACTTTGATATATTTGACAATCACTGGTTAGTTCTCATCCACGTTGACTGTCTGTAGATTCTTGAGAGCGGTAGCAGGTACATAGGCAACCAAAGTATACAACTTACTTAATGAGGATCTTCATCCTCATTACGTTTTCTGGACAACTGCACATAGATACTGTATGGGACATTCTTTATTCCTTTGGCCCAGACAGGTCTGTTGAACCTAGTATCAATGCACACATCTGGAATTCCCATCTCCTTCATGGCAAATTTCCAGATCTCTTTGAATGTCCAAGGGGGATGTTTCTTGAAGCCCACTTCATGGATGTGCTTGTGAATGATGTTGGTGTATTCTCCGGTCACTGCTTCATTGATGGCAGAATGGCCCTTTTTCTTCTCACCACCCTTCTTTGCGGGAGCCACTCTGCCAGGCCCAAGTTGGAAAGTGAGATCTTTGTAAATATTTAATGTAATATTGTGTACTTCTATAGGGCAGATTCTCAAGCCTGGGCACATACTTGGTTGATGCTCATTACTCTATGTCTAGATACTAGCTAGAGAGCGAACATTGCTCCAACCAGTTGTCACTAGGAAGACCGTGGGAAGATCACTCTACTGCTCTGTGGACCAGTTTCACCCTGAATGAAAGAGGAGAAAATTGGGGCTGAAAGGCAGTAATAACTGAAAAATGGCATTAGATACTCTAAAGATTGTACACAGGCAATGCTTGAGTCTATATACAATTTTTGGTTTTCTGTAAAGGAACAGAGTAATCCAGGAACTCCTCAGGAAAGCATTAACTGGAGGAACTTTTGGGAGCCACAGCCATACATTGTGTAATCTGCATAATTCTTACGCAATCACTCTGGGAGGTGGTCCCTATTATGGCTCCATTTAGAGCTGAGAAAACTGAGACTCAGAAAATTTGAGTGAAGTTAGGAAGATAAGATCAATTTGAGCTTTTTGGAATTTCCAGGTGACTCACTGCATGGAATACACACTGCCCCATGGTTTGAATCTGCCACTATTGATACTAACTATGAACTGCATGCTTTGTCTATGCCAAGCTCCATTCAGAAACTACAACATGGTTCCTTCCATAAAGATACATGAGGTTACTTTGCAAGGTTCTCCTTGGCCCTGCTACCCGAAGAGCAGCACCTACAGCAGCCAATACAGGTTATGTGAGCACACATGCTAACTCTTCAAGGTCCATCTTATAAACCCATGGGAATAATGCTCTGTATCTGTCTGGAACCTTATAGTTATACATCTTGCATCTGTACCACACTAACTCTGCAAGTTCATGAAGGGCAGGTATCACTACCCTCATTCATTGAGTCACTGATTTATGTATACATCGATTGTGGCATTAATTCAACAAATATTTACTGAGTACTTACCTGTGCCAGGCTCTGTGCTGATTCATAGAGGAAAATGATGTAAATAAGGCTTATCTGACTCTCAAGCAGCACAGTCTTGGGGTGGGTACAGTTTCCCAAATAGACAATAACTTTGAGGGTTTAAGTGCTTTAACTGTAGAGCTATAACTGAGAGGACAAGGAACTCTGCCCAGTGCTTTCAGAATGGTTTCAAAGAGAAGGCAGAATTAGAGAGGCTGGAGTGCATGTGGAATACCTTGATGCCAGGTTAAGGTTCTGAACTTTATCCTGACGGACATGAGATGTACGCTCAGAGCAATTAGAGACATTGTCTGGGCTGCAAGAAGTGTATTTACCATTCTTGTTTTTCTATAAAGGCACAGAGTAATCCAGGAACTCCTCAGGAAAGTACTGGCTGGAGGAACTTTGGGAGCAACAGCATGGTTTGATAGAAAGAGATCAGAGGAGAAAGAGAGGAAAATAGCGCCAAATGGGTAGCTGCTATGTGTTAGAAGCTTATATATGTTATCTTGGGGGCACCAAGGACATGATTTCAACCCCACATTAGAAATAGAGAAAGATCCAGGAAGCCTGGTTTCAGATCCAGGTCTCACCTCTTCTTCCTGGTCATGAGACCTTGGGAAGATCACACTACTGCTCTGTGGACCAGTTTCACCCTGGATGGAAGAGGAGAAAACTGGAGCTGAAGGGAGGCAGTAACTGGAAAATGGTATTGCATACTTTAAAGGCTGTACACAGACAATGCTTTGTGTTTGCTTGTTTGAATAGGGAATAACCAAAACCTCATGGTATCCCTAGGCCCATTCTAAGAAAGCAGGCAGGGAACAGAAAGGAGCTACAGGAGGCATGGAAGGGAAGGGGAGAAGAATAAGAATCAGGCCTGGGTTACAATCAGCATTCACATCCCAGCTCACGGCATGAACACAGGTGCATCACTTCATTGTGCCCAGCATTTCTTTCCACACAAAGAGAGGGTCTTTCCAGTATCAGGACTCTGTGCGTACAAGTCAGTAGAGAAGGAGGTAGTTGCTCTGTAGATACAAGAGCAATGGAGGCAAAAAAAAAAAAAAAAAAAAAGGCAAGTCCTAAGCATACACTACCCACCCTGTCCCAACCCCACTTGCATGATTCTGGAATTTCTTTCTGTTTCATGCAGACAGGAAGCCACTTAGTAGAGGCTTACAGGAAAGCTGAGGGCTCATTTTCTCTCCACCTGGAAAAGGAAAAAAAAAAATCTGTTCCATTAAAATAAATGGATAAATAAATCTCCTCCAACTTCTGAGTCTCTTGTTTGGGTGAGCAGCACTGCACTTTGTCTAGTGCCCCAGCTGAACACCTAACAACCACTCCAGTCACTCTCATCTCCCACATCCAAGTGATCCCCAAGCCCCACGGATTCTAGCTCCCTAACCATTCTCCATTCTAGCTCCCTAACCATTCTCCCCTTCCTTCTCACTCCAAGTTATTTGCTTCCCTCCCTCACAACTTGTTCCCTGGTCTGTGGCACCAATTGTTGCCTAAATGGACTTCCTGTCCCTATTCATTTCTCCCCAGTCTCAAACTGTCATGAGATCTTGCATTCACACCTGTGCCCTGCCTCACATCTTTTCAATCCACCTTCTACCCTAGCCATTGCCAGTGGGGTCTAGGCAATGCCCCCAGCTGCACCTCCATCTTGCTGACTTACTGCCCCGGGGCTTCTGGAACATCAAGAAGTAGGGCAACCATGGTACCCTGCTCAACATCTACGCTCAGGAAAACTTGAAAATGCAAGGGAGTTAACAACCTATGGGGCAATCCTTAACCAACGGGGGCAGAAAGCAGGTGGATTTTGTGACCCCATTTCTCACCATCAGGCAGACAATTTTGAAGGACTTTCTATATGGTCCTCAGAAGGTCCCTGCAGAATCCAGCCTCCATTGTCCATGGTGATGATTAGCTGGACATGGCACCACTGGTATTGGCTTTCTTCCTTTCCTCATGTCCTACCCCCTTGTTACTGTTCCCTGAGGTTGTATCCAAAAAGCAACTACCTGCGCACAAATGCTTATCTCAGGCCGTGCTTTCTGGGGAAACCCCCAGCTATGGTAGTTCCATAGGTAACTTTCAAACAGCAGTTCCACCTCTATTTGTTCTTTATAATGGGCTTCTGTTTAACATTGCTTTCAAATGAAAAGTTCAATTGCTAAAAGGAAATGGAGAGAGAGGAAGACAGGGAGGGAGAAAGGAAAAGAAAAGAAGAAAGGAAGGAAAGAAGAGAAGAGAGTATTTAAAACCATTGGTCTACAAGACAAAACCTATACATTGACATCCAAGATTCTTGAAGTCCTTGAAGTGACTCTTCATCTTTCCAAGCACCTGCAGATGCTCGAGAAGGGGCTCAGCCTTCATATTAACCCACATCACAGCTGCTATTGTTTTCCCAGAATGTAGTACCATCCTCCCTGCCAGTTCTTTTTCTGCATTGATCCCTCTGCATACTTGACTCTTATTCATCTTTTATGTTTCAAACCAAATGTCCCCTTTCCCATCCTCACCATACATCCACTGCCCCCACTTTAGTGGCTCAGGACAATACTTATCACCACTATCATCCTACTAAGCAGCATTTACTGGGCTTTTAAAATGGGCTAGGAGCTCTGCTAATTGCTTTACTACTATTAACTGCTTTACTACAGGACTGTTGCACAAAAGCCTTGCAAGATAGCATATAATTATGATACCAATTGTATAGGTCCAGATGGGGAAACTGAGGCTTTGAGAGGCTCAGAAGCTTGGGATGTTGCAGAGTGTTCCTGCAGGCTTTGCACAATTGTGTGATTATACATGTATCCTCTTTCTCATCGACCTATGGGCACTGCAGGGGCAGAAACTGAGTTCTATACATCTCTGTGATCTCCTCAAAGCATAGCCTAGCATAGATTCCAGCACGTAGTGGGAGAAAAAAGTACTGGTTTATATGATAAGGATACACATCAGCCTAGAGGAAGAAGGGCCCAGTCTCAATTAGATCACCCTCCTGCCCCTGCCAAAACTTCCCTCCCTTTCACACCACACTGTCCCACTCCCAAAACTGAGCTTAGAGCCTTCTTGCTGCTTCAAAAGCTCCTGTGCTTCCCTTTTTATTAGAGTAATTGTTAGCTATTCTTGAAGACTTGCTACAACTCATTTAATCCTCAAATAAGCCCACAAGCTTTTGCTGTCACAGCTCGATCATATTGCATTCTATCATAGTCTCTTGCTTTTTCAGAGCACCCTGGAGGGTCTCCAAGACTGGGTCCTAGAAGGCTGTGCCTCTGCCTCCCCCACCTCCTGCCCAGGGCTGGGCACCTAGGAGAAGAACTGTAACAGTGCAACAACAGGCAGTTGGCCTGGCCATTAGGTGTGGTGGCCTGGTGTTTTCCCCAGCTGGGCCTCGGCCCTGTGGTCAGTCTCAAGGCTGACCTTCACATCTCAGACCTACTTTTGAATCTGGCTTCTCCCAGGAGCCCAGGTTTATAAACAAAAAACAAACAGAACAAATAAAAACATTATCTCATTGGTGCTTGAGTCAGCTGCTCCAGATGTCTTGGGAAGTGAAGAGGGGAAGGGTGTTTGCTGCAGAGTCAGACAGAACTCAGCCCAGCCTGCAATGGGGCTGCTGCTGGGTGCATGGGGAGTGAGGGCAACTCCTTGGATTTAGTGTCTGCAGCCAATGGGGCCACTTTCACTGGCATCTCTACCCCAACTTGCCCCTACCAGCCAGCCATGATAGATGTTCACAGCCTCCTGGGCACCAGGCTGGCAGCTCTGTAGCTTCAAAGTTGGCACAGGATAGCTGCTCTCATAAATAGAGCTGTTAAATTAGCTACTTTCTATCCATTATCTCATTTAATTTCCACAAATGACCTAAGAGTTCAGGTTTACAAGGCCCATTTCACAGATAAGAAAGTGAAGCCCAGAAAGCTAAAGGATGTGTCCACAGTCACAAGCAAACAAGTTAAAGAACCTGACTTAATGCAAGGTCATCTGCCCCTACTTCTGAGCTTGTCAGTCTACCCCTACTGAGATGTGACAGCCCCAGAGCCGAGAGCCAGCTTCTCAGTCCTCCATCCTCTCTGCTGGGGGCATTTTGAAGGGTGGAATGGGACATTATTAAGGAAAAAATGTCAGCGTCTGTTTCCCAAACCTTATTCCCTCTATTGTTGAGCTACAGCAGAAATTGCTCTGGCCTGGGAGTCAGGGAGCCTGGATTCGAGACCTAGACTTTCTTGCTCCAAAAGCTTTCCATGCACTCAGCAAAGTCACCTCCCTTCTCTGGGATGCAGCTCCTCTGATTATGAGTGAGTGTGTTTGAGATGAGCCCTGACCCCATGCAGCCCACACAGCTGTGACTTCCTGTCCCATATTAGGTGTTACACATTTTAGAGCAATCTTCAATGCTTTTACCTCTTCCGAACATTCCACAGACATGAAACTTTCATCAACATGACAGGTTCACGCAGCACCTCCCACACAGCAAAACTCAGAGCAAGGAGATGTTTGGCAAGGCAGCCTCCTGGCTCTCCCCAGCCATGTGAATTTTCCTCCTCCTGAGCATGTTACAAAGACGCAAGAAACTCCAAGGAGAACTGTACTCCCTTCTCCTATTTTTCTCATGTGTTTCAGGATTTGGCTTTCCCCAGCTTTTCATTCTCCAGATGTGATTCAGAGAAGGAGTTTCATTATGTCTTGACATTTTCCACCCAGTCTGAAAGTCCTGCATGTGGGCCTATCCTGAGGCTCTCTTGCTGTTTATTTAGTCACTAATTAGTGCTGATAGAAATACAAGTGTAGCCTCAAGGTTGCTGCCAAGACCAGCAGCAACCAATTATCTCCTGGAGGTAGGAGTGGATGGGTGGTGATGAAACAGACTCCAAACTCTGGCGAAGCCCAACAGAGCAAGACCATATTGTGGGTGGGGAAGAGGAGGGATGGGGGCAGAGGGTAGAAGGTGGAGGAATATGTGGTGGTGGTCAGGGCACCTTTCATGGGAAAAGTCTAGCTGGACTTAGAAGTTAGACTTAACGTCATGAAAATGATAACTTCTCCCCTCCCTTCTGTTGGCTGACATCATATGTCCTGACTTTAACCCCAGATTAAAACACATTTGAGAAATGTGGGGCTGTCATTGTGGGCCAGGCCAGATGAATTCAAAAACTCAATTCAATCATTTTCAAAGGTGCCAAATGAGCACCTTTTCTAGCCAAGACAGTATTGAGGATATAGAAATAAATGACAGATGGCTCCTGGTCTTAAAGCACTGACCTGGTGTAGGAGGATGGTGAAACAGGTAAAGGAAACTTTGTAAAAAGAGTGGTGACATTGAAGGAAGGGCATCTTAGTTCTGCCTGAAGGTGCTAGGGGAAGGCTTCCTGATGGAGGAGGCATTTGAGCTGGTACTTGAAAGGTGAGCAGGGACTAATGGAGAAGGGAAAGCATTGAAAAGCTTTCTAGACTTTACAGTGCACCACCCTGAGAGGGAGCACATCATTACATTGTATGCCTCAGGTGCCACTTTTGTCTTGTCCTGGTCCCATGGCTGCACAAAAGCATGGAAAGACAAAGTATCTCAGCTGGATCAAGAAACTGAAAGCAGATGCAGGTGAATGCAGCATGATTAGAAAACTCTAGACTGGATGAGAAGTAATGCCCAGGCTAGGAAAGGTCTTATTGTCAGGCTAAGGACGTGGGACTCCAGACCTGCACTGGTCAATATGGTAGCTACTACCCACATGAGGCTATTTAAATTAACTAGAATTAAATAAAATTAAAAATTCATTGAAGGTTTGCAACCCTGAAAAGTAACCTGGCTGCAGGGCAAAGAGGTTACAGACTAGCAGTGATTTGCAAGCCTGTTCTGGTACTCCAGGTGAGCCTTCAAGACCATGGAGAAGAGAAGAGGCTGCAGTATGAGTGCCGTCCTTCTCATACTTCAGATGACTTTAATGAGGATGGAGAAAGTGGTGGGAGATTAGTGCTGCCTTTCTGATGCTCCAGTTGAGTTTTGATGAGGATGGAGAAGGGGATGGGGAATGAGTATTATCCTTCTATTACTCTAGTTGAGCTTTGATGAGGATAAAGAATAGGAGCAGATGGGGGATGAGTGCTGCCCTTCTGGTACTCCAGGAGACTTTGATAAGGATGTAGAAGAGAAGGGAATAGATTAGTGCTATCTTTCTGATACTCCAGGTGAGTTTTGATGAGGATGGAGAAGGGGATGTGCGGCAAGTGCTGCCCTTCTGGTACTCCAGGTGATTTGATGAAATTCGAGAAGAGAAGGAGTTGTGGATAAGTTACTTTTTCACACCCAGGGCCAAGTTTTCTCCAGGGCTGTTGCCCTCTGTAGCTGATGGGCTTGAGTGCTTCTCCTGCAGTTCTTAGGGCCCAGTGTTTTCCGCTTGTCTACTCGGAATCCCGAGCCCCACTCAGGTCAGAAGGGACTTGGGCCCAGTCTGCCTGGGTTTAAATCCCATGGTAGAGGGTGGAGCCAAGATGGCCGAATAGGAACAGCTCCAGTCTACAGCTCCCAGCGTGAGCAATGCAGAAGACGGGTGATTTCTGCATTTCCAACTGAGGTACTGGGTTCATCTCACTGGGGAGTGCCGGACAGTGGGTGCAGGACAGTGGGTGCAGTGAACCGTGCGTGAGCTGAAGAAGGGCAAGGCATCGCCTCACCCGGGAAGCGCAAGGGGTCAGGGAATTCCCTTTCCTAGTCAAAGAAAGGGGTGACAGAGGGCACCTGGAAAATCGGGTCACTCCCACCCTAATACTGCACTTTTCCAACGGGCTTATCAAACGGCACACCAGGAGATTATAGGCCACACATGGCTCGGAGGGTTCTACACCCATGGAGCCTCACTCATTGCTAGCACAGCAGTCTGAGATCAAACTGCAAGGCAGCAGCGAGGCTGGGGGAGGGGCGCCTGCCATTGCTCAGGCTTGAGTAGGTAAACAAAGTGGCCAGGAAGCTCGAACTGGGTGGAGCCCACCACAGCTCAAGGAAGCCGGCCTGCTTCTGTAGGCTCCACCTCTGGGGGCAGGGCACAGACAAACAAAAGACAGCAATAACCTCTGCAGACTTAAATGTCCCTGTCTGACAGCTTTGAAGAGAGTAGTGGTTCTCCCAGCACGCAGCTTGAGATCTGACAACAGGCAGACTGCCTCCTCAAATGGGTCCCTGACCCCCGAGTAGCCTAACTGGGAGGCACCCCCCAGTAGGGGCGGACTGACACCTCACACGGCCAGGTACTCCTCTGAGACAAAACTTCCAGAGGAACGACCAGGCAGCAGCATTTGCGGTTCACCAATATCTGCTGTTCTGCAGCCACCGCTGCTGATACCCAGGCAAACAGGGTCTGGAGTGGACCTCCAGACCGCTCCAACAGACCTGCAGCTGAGGGTCCTGACTGTTAGAAGGAAAACTAACAAACAGAAAGGACATCCACACCAAAAACCCATCTGTACGTCACCATCATCGAACACCAAAGGTAGATAAAACCACAAAGATGGGGAAAAAACAGAGCAGAAAAACTGGAAACTCTAAAAATCAGAGCACCTCTCCTCCTCCAAAGGAACGCAACTCCTCACCAGCAACGGAACAAAGCTGGACGGAGAATGACTTTGACGAGTTGAGAGAGGAAGGCTTCAGAAGATCAAAGTACTCCGAGCTAAAGGAGGAAGTTCGAACCAATGGCAAAGAAGTTTAAAACTTCGAAAAAAAAATTAGATGAATGGATAACTAGAATAACCAATGCAGAGAAGTCCTTAAAGGACCTGATGGAGCTGACAACCATGGTATGAGAACTATGTGACGAATGCACATGCCTCAGTAACCGATGCAATCAACTGGAAGAAAGGGTATCAGCGATGGAAGATGAAATGAATGAAATGAAGCGTGAAGAGAAGTTTAGAGAAAAAAGAATAAAAAGAAATGAACAAAGCCTCCAAGAAATAGGGGACTATGTGAAAAGACCTAATCTACGTCTAATTGGTGTACCTGAAAGTGATGGGGAGAATGGAACCAAGTTGGAAAACACTCTGCAGAATATTATCCAGGAGAAATTCCCCAATCTAGCAAGGTAGGCCAACGTTCAGATTCAGGAAATACAGAGAACACCACAAAGATACTCCTCGAGAAGAGCAACTCCAAGACACATAACCGTAAGATTCACCAAAGTTAAAATGAAGGAAAAATGTTAAGGGCAGCCAGAGAGAAAGGTCGGGTTACCCTCAAAGGGAAGCCCATCAGACTAACAGCGGATCTCTTGGCAGAAACCCTACAAGCCAGAAGAGAGTGGTGGCCAATATTCAACATTCTTAAAGAAAAGAATTTTCAACCCAGAATTTCATATCCAGCCAAACTAAGCTTCATAAGTGAAGGAGAAATAAAATACTTCATAGACAAGCAAATGCTGAGAGATTTTGTCACCACCAGGCCTGCCCTAAAAGAGCTCTGAAGGAAGCACTAAACATGGAAAGGAAAAACCAGTACCACCCACTGCAAAAACATGCCAAATTGTAAAGACCATCAAGGCTAGGAAGAAACTGCATCAACTAATGAGCAAAATAACCAGCTAACATCATAATGACAGGATCAAATTCACACATAACAATACTAACCTTAAATGTAAATGGGCTAAATGCTCCAATTAAAAGACTCAGACTGGCAAATTGGATAAAGAGTCAAGACCCATCAGTATGCTGTATTCAGGAAACCCATCTCATGTGCAGAGACACACATAGGCTCAAAATAAAGGGATGGGGGAAGATCTACCAAGCAAATGGAAAACAAAAAAAGGCAGGGGTTGCAATCCTAGTCTTGGATAAAACAGACTTTAAACCAACAAAGATCAAAAGAGACAAAGAAGGCCATTACATAATGGTAAAGGGATCAATTCAACAAGAAGAATTAACTATCCTAAATATATATGCACCCAATACAGGAGCACCCAGATTCATAAAGCAAGTCCTTAGTGACCTACAAAGTGACTTAGACTCCCACACAATAATAATGGGAGACTTTAACACCACACTGTCAACATTAGACAGATCAACAAGACAGAAAGTTAACAAGGATATCCAGGAATTGAACTCAGCTCTGCACCAAGCGGACCTAATAGACATCTACAGAACTCCACCCCAAATCAACAGAATATACATTCTTCTCAGCACCACACCACACCTCTTCCAAAGTTGACCACATAGTTGGAAATAAAGCACTCCTCAGCAAATGTAAAAGAACAGAAATTATAACAAACTGTCTCTCAGACCACAGTGCAATCAAACTAGAACTCACGATTAAGAAACTCACTCAAAACCGCTCAACTACATGGAAACTGAACAACCTGCTCCTGAGTGACTATTGGGTACATAACGAAATGAAGGCAGAAATAAAGATGTTCTTTGAAACCAATGAGAACAAAGACACAACATACCAGAATCTCTGGGACACATTCAAAACAGTGTGTAGAGGGAAATTTATAGCACTAAATGCCCACAAGAGAAAGCAGGAAAGATCTCAAATTGACACCCTAACATCACAATTAAAAGAACTAGAGAAGCAAGAGCAAACACATTCAAAACCTAGCAGAAGGCAAGAAATAACTAAGATCAGAGCAGAACTGAAGGAAATAGAGACACAAAAAACCCTTCAAAAAAATCAATGAATCTGGGAGCTGGTTTTTTGAAAAGATCAACAAAATTGATAGACTGCTAGCAAGACTAATAAAGAAGAAAAGAGAGAAGAATCAAATAGACGCAATAAAAAATGATAAAGGGGATATCACCACCAATCCCACAGAAATACAAACTACCATCAGAGAATACTATAAACACCTCTACACAAATAAACTAGAAAATCTAGAAGAAATGGATAAATTCCTCGACACATACACTCTCCCAAGACTAAACCAGGAAGAAGTTGAATCTCTGAATAGACCAATAACAGGCTCTGAAATTGAGGCAATAATTAATAGCCTAGCAACCAAAAAAGTCCGGGACCAGACGGATTCACAGTCAAATTCTACCAGAAGTACAAGGAGGAGCTGGTACCATTCCTTCTGAAACTATTCCAATCAACAGAAAAAGAGGGAATCCTCCCTAACTCATTTTATGAGGCCAGCATCATCCTGATACCAAAACCTGGCAGAGACACAAGAAAAAAAGAGGATTTTAGATCAATATCCTTGATGAACATTGATGCAAAAATCCTCAATAAAATCCTGGCAAACCGAATCCAGCAACACATCAAAAAGCTTATCCACCATGATCAAGTGGGCTTCATCCCTGGGATGCAAGGCTGGTTCAACATACGAAAATCAATAAACGTAATCCAGCATATAAACAGAACCAAAGACAAAAACCACATGATTATCTCAATAGATGCAGAAAAGGCCTTTGACAAAATTCAACAACCTTCATGCTAAAGACTCTCAATAAGTTAGGTATTGATGGGACGTATCTCAAAATAATAAGAGCTATCTATGACAAACCCATAGCCAATATCATACTGAATGGACAAAAACTGGAAGCATTTCCTTTGAAAACTGGCACAAGACAGGGATGACCTCTCTCACCACTCCTATTCAACATAGTGTTGGAAGTTCTGGCCAGGGCAATCAGGAAGGAGAAAGAAATAAAGGGCATTCGATTAGGAAAAGAGGAAGTCAAATTGTCCCTGTTTGCAGATGACATGACTGTACATCTAGAAAACCCCATCATCTCAGCCCAAAATCTCCTTAAGTGGATAAGCAACTTCAGCAAAGTCTCAGGATACAAAATCAATGTGCAAAACTCACAAGCATTCTTATACACCAATAACAGACAAACAGAGACCCAAATCATAAGTGAACTCCCATTCACAATTGCTTCAAAGAGAATAAAATACCTAGGAATCCAACTTACAAGGGATGTGAAGGACCTCTTCAAGGAGAACTACAAACCACTGCTCAATGAAATAAAAGAGGATACAAACAAATGGAAGAACATTCCATGCTCATGGGTAGGAACAATCAATATCGTGAAAATGGCCATACTGCCCAAGGTAATTTATAGATTCAATGCCATCCCCATCAAGCTACCAATGACTTTCTTCACAGAATTGGAAAAGACTACTTTAAAGTTCATATGGAACCAAAAAAGAGCCCGCATCACCAAGTCAATCCTAAGCCAAAAGAACAAAGCTGGAGGCATCATGCTACCTGACTTCAAACTATACTACAAGGCTACGGTAACCAAAACAGCATGGTACTGGTACCAAAACAGAGATATAGACCAATGGAACAGAACAGAGCCCTCAGAAACAATGCCACATATCTACAACTATCTGATCTTTGACAAACCTGACAAAAACAAGAAATGGGGAAAGGATTCCCTATTTAATAAATGGTGCTGGGAAAACTGGCTAGCCATATGTAGAAAGCTGAAACTGGATCCCTTCCTTGCACCTTGTACAAAAATTAATTCAAGATGGATTAAAGACTTAAATGTTAGACCTAAAACCATAAAAACCCTAGAAGAAAACCTAGGCAATACCATTCAGGACATAGGCATGGGCAAGGACTTCATGTCTAAAACACCAAAAGCAATGGCAACAAAAGCTAAAATTGACAAGTGGGATCTAATTAAACTAAAGAGCTTCTGCACAGCAAAAGAAACTACCATCAGAGTGAACAGGCAGCCTACAGAATGGGAGAAAATTTTTGCAACCTACTCATCTGACAAAGCGCTAATATCCGGAATCTACAATGAACTCAAACAAATTTACAAGAAAAAAACAAACAACCCCATCAACAAGTAGGCGAAGGATATGAACAGACACTTCTCAAAAGAAGACATTTATGCAGCCAAAAAACACATGAAAAAATGCTCATCATCACTGGCCATCAGAGAAATGCAAATCAAAACCACAATGAGATACCATCTCACACCAGTTAGAATGGTGATCATTAAAATGTCAGGAAACAACAGGTGCTGGAGAGGATGTGGAGAAACAGGAACACTTTTACACTGTTGGTGGGATTGTAAACTAGTTTAACCATTGTGGAAGTCGGTGTGGCGATTCCTCAGGGATCTAGAACTAGAAATACCATTTCACCCAGCCATCCCATTACTGGGTATATACCCAAAGGATTATAAATCATGCTGCTATAAAGACACATGCACACGTATGTTTATTGCGGCACTATTCACAATAGCAAAGACTTGGAACCCACCCAAATGTCCAACAGACTGGATTAAGAAAATGTGGCACATATAGACCATGGAATACTATGCAGCCATAAAAAATGATGAGTTCATGTCCTTTGTAGGGAAATGGATGAGGCTGGAAACCATCATTCTCAGGAAACTATCACAAGGACAAAAAACCAAACACCGCATGTTCTCACTCATAGGTGGGAATTGAACAATGAGAACACATGGACACAGGAAGGGGAACATCACACACCGGGGACTATTGTGGGGTTGGGGGAGTGGGGAGGGATAGCATTAGGAGATATACCTAATGCTAAATGACGAGTTAATGGGTGCAGCACAGCAACATGGCACATGTATACATATGTAACAAACCTGCACATTGTGCACATGTACCCTAAAACTTAAAGTATAATAATAATAAAAATAAAATAAAATAAAATAAATCCCATGGTAGTACTTGCTAAATGGATACATTTATGAAAGTTTAAATCTTTTCTATTCTTGTGTATCTTCATGTGTAACATCGGGCCAATAATAGCACTATATTTTGTGGTTACTAAGAGTCAAATGTGATAACATTTTTAATGCCCTTAAAACAGGACCTAGCACATCATAAGCCTCAGTAAGTAAAAGCTTGTGTCATGACCAAGCAGCAGCACTGTCTTGGGTTTAGAACATAGATTCTGCATCATTCTTCAACTTAAAACTCACTTCAGTCACTTCTTAGCTAGTGGCCTTGACAAATTTATTTCAATTTCACTGTGCCTCCATTCCCTCATCTCTGAAATGGGGGTAACTTGCCTATGTAATAGTACTTGCCTCATGAACTTATTATGAGGGTTCAATGAAATCATGTACATAATAGACTTAGGAAACCACCTGGCATGTATGAAGAGCCCATAATGGTAAATTCTTGTAGTTGCTGTTATTATCATTGCTATTGTTACTATACTTAAGGAAGCAGGGCAATGTTCTGATTCCCTTATACCTACTGGAAAAGTCCACTACCCCACCCCCTAAATATTGCCTCCCTCAAAGAGTTGGGGTAGTACAGACACTGATGTGGAGATTTTGGTTCTATTAGGTTGGTGCAAAACTAATTGCGGTTTTGCCAACTATTTCTTCTCCATAAACTTTCCAATGGAAGCATTTCCTCTTCCTCTGAATGCTTCTAGGAGGCTCCCTGTATTAGTCCATTTTGCATTGCTATAAAGGAATACCTGAGGCTGGGCAATTTATAAAGAAAAGAGGTTTATATAACTTGTAATTCTGCAGGCTGTACAAGAAGCATGGCAGCAGTGTTTACTCATGGCAGAAGTTGTAAGCGGAGCAGGCATGTCACATGGCAAGAGCGGAAGCAAGAGAGATGCCAAGCTCTTTTAAACAATTAGCTCTCACATGAACTAAAAGAAGGAGAACTCACTTATTACCATGGAGAGGGCACCAACCAATTCATAAGGTATCCACCTTCATAACCCAAACACCTCCTACCAGGCCCCACCTCCAACATTAGGGATTACATTTCAACATGAGATTTGGGAGAAATAAACATACAAACTTGATCACTTCCCAAACTCATATTCCAAGTTGCTCAGAGCAACACATTAGAAGTATCTCCTGATAAGTAAGGGGGTTTGGGGGATTTCAGAATCTCTTCTCAGCAACATCTACCTTCTAAGACTCTTGACTCACTATACCCAAGGGGAAAATATTAAAAGCTGGACAGTGATGCTATTCCTCCTATGAACTGTTGCTCAAAATTTTAAAAGTTATTTCCCAGGTAAATAGAGGCCTTGGCTAACTGGGAAAAAAAGGTTCTGTGCAAGAAAATGTGAAAGAAGAATGTGATCTAATACATTTCAGAAGCATACTGGCTTCGTGAGAACTATGTGTCTGTGGAGTTTATACTGCAAGGTGCAGGGTCACAGTATGGAGCTAGGATGAGTGAACATGGGACTTTTCCTCTGTTCCTCACAGGTTTGCAATGAATGTCCCTTTACATAGGACTTCTCAATGATCCCCTGAATGGCTCTTGTTTTAATGACTTTTATTCCAAAGTGATAATGTGTTTCACCAATTTTCTCACTAAAAAGAGATTAAGAGAATGTTGAACTTAATAAATTGTTCTATATGCTCAGATAAAACATCAAATGATATAAAGATGTGCAAAGAAAAAAAACAGTGTTTTTCTTCTCCCATGTGTAACTCTCTCCTTGCCATGTGCTGCACCCTTCCTTGAGGAATCAATGCCACTTGTTTTTCTGTAGAATTGGTCTACATTTTTCTCTATATCAGAACATATACAGACATCATCACCATCAGTTACATTTACTAAGGAACTACCATATCTGGTAAAAGCACCAAATCCTTTCATGTGTGATAACATATAGGGACACACACACATAATGTAAATATATATATACATGTGCATGTATGTATATGTACACAAACACATGTTTGGGGAGAATTAAAAAAATACAAGAAAAACCTAAGCCCAATGCAACATGGCAGATAGCAAACCCACAATACACATTAGCTATTATCACTTTTGTTATGCTTGTCATTGTTGTTATCATCGTATTTCTACAATCACTCTATGAGGTGGGTATTATTGGATAATATTACACATGTGTAAAGATGCAGAAAATTCCATTGAGCTTACCAAGATCACACCTCTACAAGAGTCCAAGCCTGAACACTGAGCAGTTCACATTGGATAAAGTCTGCTCGGAATGAGCAGTAAGACTCCTGGTGAAAAAGACTGTAATTTATACTATTGCTGACAGAGAAACCAAGGCCTCTCTTCACAAAACGTATCATCTCTGGTACAAATGACCAGTCTAATTCATACTTCCGGTGACTGTATAACCTGATTGTACAAAAGTGATGGAAAGAGCCAGGTGAGGCCCTGGGGAATGGTCAAGGAGCTCCTGTCCCGAGATTACCTTCTGCCCTAGGAGGGAGTGAAGAGATGCCCCTGGGCTCACCACACTGGAATCTGTTTACTACTGAGCACCTGCTTCTTGCCAGGCCCTATCCTGCTCCCAAAGACAAAGAGAGAAGCTCTGCATCCAGCTGGGGAGATGGTAAGGTAAAACTGCAAGTAGGGTATAGGTCATAGGTTTCCTGGGACTAAATGAGGTTCCATGTAACATACTTGGGGTAGAGCCCAGTAAACATCATCTGTTAGCAGAGTTTCCATTCAGTTCACTGTAGTGGGCATTCTGACTTCATCATTCGTTTGGCTGAAGGTACTGCTTAAGACATTCTACTTAGTCAGTTATATAAAGTGGGTTTAATTTTTTTTTTTTTTTTGAGATGGAATCTCACTATGTCACCCAGGCTGGAGTGCAGCCATTGAGATGGAATCTCACTATGTCGCCCAAGCTGGAGTGCAGCCGTGCGATCTCAGTTCACTGCAAGCTCCGCCTCCCAGATTCACGCCATTCTCCTGGCTCAGCCTCCCGAGTAGCTGGGACTACAGGTGCCCGCCACCATGCCTGGCTAATTTTTTTGTATTTTTAGTAGAGATGGGGTTTCACCGTGTTATCCAGGATGGTCTCGATCTCCTGACCTCATGATCCGCCCACCTCAGCCTCCCAAAGTGGTGGGATTATAGGCGTGAGCCACCGCGCCCAGTCAAAGTGGGTTTAATTATTTTCAAGGAATGTTTGTTGTTATCCTTAAAAGGTCCTGAGTGATAATCCAACCCCAGGGCTTGGTAAAAAGAGGAAATCAATCAATATTTTGCTCCTGCTTAGGGAAGACTAGAGGGTTGCAGTCACTGCAGTAATTAAGAATATAGGACCTGGAGTTGAAGGCTTCCTCCATCACTAACGAGTGGCATGATCTTGGATAAATTGCTTAACCTCTCTGAACCTCAGTTTCTTCTATCATAAAATGAAAATATTATGCATGCCCATGTCACAGGGCTGTTGTCAGGATGAATGAAATGATCTGTGTGAAAACATGTCATGCAGTACCCAGGACATGGTAAGTTAGCTTTCTTTGCCAGTGTTTTTCCTGTCCAGTGGTGTTCTACAAGACACTTATTCCTTTCCCTCCTCCCTCTTCCTTCCACTACCCTCATCCCGAACTCCTGGGCTCTGGAGGAAAGACTGACGTAGGGAAAGCGAACTGAGTCTGTTGTCGTGTCTGCAACCAGAAACAATGTATTAGGAGAGGCTCTGTAGTTTGTTTATAGACAAAAGGGAGTCTTGGAAAAGGGATCATGAATGGCCTTCATTCTCTGACTGATGGAATTAGTTTGTCATCTGGAAACCACCTTCATTTTCCTCATATTCAGAATGTTCCCTTTAGTGAGCATAGAGCACTTTTCAAATATAGCCCTCCTTGGCTCAATGCCTCACTATATACTCCCTGGAGGGCAAGTAAAATGCCTCTTCCCTCAGACCCCTTTGCTGAATTCTCCCTTTCCTTTGGCTTCTCACTTTGAAGTCAGATGCTTGCTTAGAATTTAGACTTTAAAACAGTTTTTTTTTGCTACTCAAACAAGTACATGGACATGCATAGCAGCATGATTCATAACAGCCCAAAGCTGAAAACAACCCAAACATCCATTAACTGATGAATGGACAAACCAAATGTGGTAAATAAGTCTACAATGGATTATTAGTCAGCCATGAAAAGGAAATAAGTGCCAATAAATGCTATGACACAATAAATGTTAAGTGAAAATAAGTGAATGAAGCCAGACACAAGAGGTTGGATTGTATTGTATAGCCCCACTTAAATATTAATAAAATATCCAGACTGAGTAAATCAACAGAGACAGAACACAGATTGACAGGTACCAGGTACAAGAGGATTGAGGAACCACTTCTTAGTGGGTATGGGATTTCATTTCTGGCGGATGAAAATATTTTGCATAGATAGAAGTAGTGGTTGCACATTATAAAAGTACTAAATACCACCAAATTGTTCACTTTAAAATAGTTACTTTTATGTTACATTAATTTCATCTCAATAAGAAAATGATTAGCATTTCTTGTGTTTTCTCTATCTATGTCTATGGTCTTATAATCTTTGTCTCCAAGACATGACCCTTTCCATCAAGTCCCTCAAAACATTATCACAGTTTCATTGTCTCCCCACTGTAGGAAGATCTATTATCAAAAGAAGTTTCTGATCTCTGGTCTCATGATAGAGTTAGTTACCATTTGTCTTCCACCACCATTATTTCCAGAGATTCCTTCTGCTTAACTGGTATTTACATTTACACTTGAAAGGAAATGTGCTTGAAACCTGTTGTGATGTCCCAGAATGGAAAGTCTCCAAAAGGTAGACCTGTGATAGCTTCACCCTCTTTCTTCAATTGTTATTCATTCATTCATTTATTCATTTAATCAATCAGCAATAGTCTAAGGTCTGCACTATGTATAGCTCCCTGCAGGGCACTGCTGGATTAATGGAAATGAATCAGAACAGCTCCTGGCCTTGGGGCGCTCACAGAATAAGGAAACAGATGACCCCTGTGAGAACAGCTATGCAGGGAAAGCTACACATGGTAAGAAACATACAGAAGTGGGTGAGCACAAAGGAAAAGAATGTGCCTGAAGGGAAAGCTTCAAAGAGATACAAAGTTCAGACCCTCCACCATTCCACTCCTCATTTTAAAGTGCACCCATCCCTTTAGCTAACCCTATTTATATGTTAGTCTTCTCTTCCTCTGCCACTTCCCCAGTGTATCTGGTGTCTTTCATCATCTCTGAAGCAACAAAAGACTCTCCCTTAAAAATCCACCCCAAAGTTCCCCATTGATCCCTTTTTATTTTTTAGTTTATAGAATTAAAATATCTTGTACATCTCTTGCTACTTCTTTTTTGGTTGTTAACTGATGTGGTTTGTATGTGTGTCCCCTCCAAATCTCATGTTGAAATGTGATCCCCAATGTTGGGGGTGGGGCCTGTTTGAGGATGTTGGATTATGGGGGTGAATCTCTCATGAATGGCTGGGTGCCCTCTTTGCTCAAAAGAGTCATAATAAATTTGCATGAGATCCAGTTGTTTAAAAGAGTGTGGCAGTTCCCCATCTCTCTTGCTCCTCTTTTACCATGTGATATACGGCCTCCCTCTTTGCTTTATACCATGATTACAAGCTTCCAGAGGGCCCCACCAGAAGCAGATGCTGGCTCCATGCTTCTTGTACAGCCTGCAGAACTGTGAGCTAAATAAGCTTCTTTTCCTTATAAATTACCCAACCTCAGGTATTCCTTTATAGCAATGCAAATGGACTAACACACTAAAATTAGCATTAGAATTAGAATTAGCATATCTGAACTTAGAATGGAGCATGGAATATGTAGGATCAATAGGTTTGTGTTTTAAGCAGAAATAGGAGACAGGGATGGTCACCATCAAAGTGGGAAGTCAAAAGATCACAGCTGAAATCTTAAATTCACCTACAATTCCATAGTCTTGGGCAGGAGATTTAACTTCTCTGAGCTTTAATTTATTCCTTTGTAAAATGTTAACAATCATGTCATTAAACTTGCTGGAGATAGCACAGAAGAGAAATTTCTACACAAATGTTTGCCACCACTGAAGTTGTTACACAAATACCTAAAAGGAATCTACTCTGAGCGTTTTTAGATGCCACTAACTTACTGCAGTAGTCCTTGGTGTTGTGATCTCATTGAATCCCATAAAAGAAAATATGTCCAGCCCATGTCACCTGACTTCTGTCCTTGGTTATGCAGACCAGTGGGATTGTAGTCTCTTCTTATGTGGTCCTCACCCAAGCTCTTGATATGACCTCAATGGAAGGAGGATGTCTTCCCTGTAGGACAGGAAGATAGCAGACATGAGATCCTTGACTCTCTCCCTTTTTCTTTGGTTTCAGTCTATTTATGTACTTACTATGTTTGGGTGCCTTCATCATCAGCCCTTGTTAGCCTAGAGGTTAAAGATTTACTCATGAGGGACAGATGAAGCTCATAAGGAATTAGCTACATGTCCCCACTTGGCTGGTCAGCTGGAGTCAAGATGATATGAAGACAATGACTCACCAGTAATAGGAAGCCCATTTTTCAGACTAAGCTTTTAACAATGGAGCCTGCCAAGTGTGAACAATGATCAGCCATGGGATGCTTCTTCTTGGAAGCCACTTGTCTTAAATAGAAGGAGCCTTGAGCTAAATCAAAGACCTGGTTTCTAGTTCCTGCTCTACCAATATCTCCCTGGGTAACCTTCAGTAAGTTACTACCACTCTGAGCCTTCAAGTCCTTTAAACTGTGGTATTGTAGGATGTTACATTAACTTTTTCCTATAGCCCTTGATAATGGTCCTAAAGCACTTTGTGCCCCTCCACAGCTCTCTGCTATGAATGGGTTAGATTGTCAAAGCTAGAGTATGAGTTCCCCAGGTGTGCCAGGCAGAGCTGACATGATGTGTGGCTCTTATTCATAGTGTTAGGGGCACAAAGATAAACTAAGGAAGTTTGAATACATATGGACTTTAGTTTACTATTTACGTTGGTATACAGAATAGATCTGTATATTAAAGTTTTCCAAAGACAGTGCAGATGGTAAATTATTACCCCTCCCAACCCGCTTTTCTATTTCACTCTCAGCAGAGCAAGACCCAGGACATTTGAAAATTTATGTTAAGAATTTAGTTGATTAGTATTCTAAGGAAGCAGTATAAAAAGAGCATGGTGAGAAGGTCAGAGTGTGGAGTCAGATCTAACAATTTGTCTCCATTCTCTACTTATTGGCTGTGTGACCTTGGGAAGATAGCTTAACCTCTCTGACTCTTAATTTTCCATTGAGAGAGTTGTGACAATCAATGTGGATGTTATTTAAAGCATTGCTTATTAAATCAAAGCATAACTGTAGCTTAAAAATGAATTATAGCTTCTCATAGAGACTCTCTTCCAGAGTACAGTATAGAACGGAAAAAAAAAAAAAAAAAGAGTAACTATACAGTGGAGAAACCTGACAAGCACTGCCTTGGCCAAATGACCAACGTTACTATCAACAGCGATAAATATTATTGATGGTGAGTACCCTGGATATGATGTGATGAGAATGGCACTTTACATCTGTGAGATCTTCCTTTAAAAAAAAAACATAATCCCTGTCTAATCATGAGGAAAACATTGAATTCCAATGGAGGGACATTCTACAAAATACCTGACCAGTATTCCGCAAAACTGTCAGCCAACTATCTCAGCCAACGATAGCCTAAAGAGAGACATGAAGAGGGAATACGGACAAAACATAAGACATCCCAAATGGTGGTAGAGTTAGAAATCGATCATTGGCATGAAAGAGGCAAACGTGAAATTAGCGATGAATTCCAACAGTGTGTATGTGGGGAGGGTGAAGGTGTTACTTGGATTAGGTGACTGTATTAGTTTTCTAGATCTACTGCAAAAAATTACCACAAACTTGGTGGCTTAAAAATAACAGAAATATAGTCTTATAGCTCCAGAGGTCAGAAGTCCAAAATCAAATCAGCAGGGCTGCTCTGATAGCTCTAGGGGAGAATCCTCCTTGCCTCTTCCAGCCTCTGCTGGCTGTCAGCATCCCTTGACGTGGGCTGCCCACTCCATCTTTGCCACCATTTCCACATTACCTTCTTCTCCCTAAATGTCTCTGAGTTCTCTCTTCTTCTTCTAAGGACACCTGTCATAGAATTCAGGACCCAACTAAATCCAGAACGATCTCACCTGGAGACCCTGAACTTATTTACACCTGCAGAGACACTTTTTCCAAACAAAGTCACCTTTATAGGTTCCAGGGGTTAGAATTTGGACATGTCTTGTTGGAGAGGTCACTTATTTAACCAACTACAGTGGCCACAAAAAGACTTTCTGAGATGGGAACATTTATGTGGAAGAGTCTGCCTTGCAGAGAACAGGGAGGAATGTTCCACGAAAAGAGAACAACGTGGCCAAAGACTTTAAGAAAGAGCTCTGTGTGGCTGAGGAACTGAAAGGGCACAGCGAAGCCGGAGAAAGTGGAGGGGAAGAGAAGACCTTGGTAGGCCTGGTGGGAAGGTTCTGATCACAGATGGCCCAGCTGGGCTAGTAGGGCCTCAGAGTGACTCACCTTTGCCTGAAATCTCATTCTCAGCCCAGAGTTCTCCTTTTCACCTACTCACTGCTCTGGAAGCTTTACGCTCAGTGCATCACAATAGCTCCTGGGCCTTGGTAAGGGGACATTACACACTGCAGGAAAAAGCCTTTTGTTCTCGTCCATTTCAGTGTCATCCAGCTGACGTGGCGGCAGCTTTGTAGTGCCACAGTGAGGCTGGATCTCAATGCCAACTTCTAGTTTCGATGCAACATGTCCCATCAGGCCCCATTGTGAGCTGCTAGCTTATGTCCTTGAAGAAGCCCTGCCCGGTTTTCTTTCAAGTCACTGAGGCAGCCGTAATGTTGAGGCTTGAGCTCTGGCCTGAAGTCCAGGAAGCTGAGGTTGAATCCCATCTTGGATTCTTACTAGTCACGCAGACTTGGGAAAGTCAGCCTCTCACAGCTTCTGTTTTCTCACTTATAAAATGAAGATGGAAAAAAAGTCAATCTCATAGCAAGGGTGTGAGACTCAAATAAGACGGTGCATTTGAAAATGTTGTGCGAATTATAAAGTGTTTTCTATGCAGAAAGAGAGATGTTACCAACAGTATTGACACCCTGAGGGTCTCTAATCCTCTTTCCAGAGAAAGGGAATTCTCAGGATTCACTTCATCTCATCATAAACTCATAGACTCTGCACTGAAGGCTGTGTGCTATTGTCTGTCACTCCCCGAGGGGCTAATAAGCATCATCGCCCATGGAGGTACCACCATGCAGCAAGCTCCAAAAATGGAAATAAACAAAACTCAAATCTGCCTCTCTATAAAAAGCAACCTACCGTTGAAACTTGACCCTCTTGAAAACGTACTAAAATGAACATGGAAGGGAAAAGGAAGAACAAAATACCTAAGTAATTAATCGGCATTTTGTCCAACCCCATTTTGTTTTAAAGGGCATTCATCAAGATCAACATACCTGCCAAGGCAAACCCTGTGAGCCCTGTGACTGGCCATGTGGACTCGACATCCTCCTTGTCCGCCGTCCACTCACTTGCAAACTGGTGTCAATGAAGGTAACATTTTGTGGTAATGGCAACCATATGGGCTGGTGACTGCTGTCAGTAAAAATAGCCCACATGGCCTGTGTGGCCAGACACAACGTCAAGCTAAGAGAAGGAGACAGAAAGCTGTGTGAAGGAAAGAAAAAAAAATAGTTTTAAAAGACTGGAGACGGAAGCCTGCCTGACTGTGAAGGAGGTTTCAGGGAGCTGAAACATGCAGCCAAGCTGGGCTCATCAACAGCAGAGACATTTGCATGAAACACCAGCCCTCCCCAGCCTGGCCTTCCACACTCTCATGCCCCAGATGAGAGGGGATAGAAACAGGATTCTATCTGGGAACAGAGCCGAAGCTCAGCACATGTACACATCTCTGGGATGTGTACAGAATCTTCTCCTACCTAACCAACCCAGTAGAGAGCAAGGAGTTAGGGCCAGAAATTTTAAACAACAACAACAACAACAAAAAAACCTAAGCATATATTTTCAGTTCCTTTAAAAATGTATTATGTTTTGTAGCATAATAGAAACAACGTGAATTTGCAAATTGCCAGACCTGATTTGACTCTCACAATATGCTACTGAATAAACACAAGCAAATTACTTAATCTCTAAAACCTTCGGTTTATTCGTTTGTAAAATGGAGATAATGTAACCAATAGTTATTATGAGGAGTACATGAGCTGATGTTCCTTACACTTAATAGAATGTCCTACTCATTTATTCACTCATTCAACAAATACTTAATAATTGCCTTCTAGGGCCAAGCACAGTTACAGAGGAATAAGTGAGTGCATAAAACGAAATGGCAGTTTTCATGGGGTTTATATTCTAGTTGTAAGTGGAACACGTAGAATGTCAGAAGATGAAAAGTGCTGTGGATAAAAATAAAGCAAGGAAGGGGGATGGGGAGGGCGGGAATTGGGAGTGCAATTTTAAGTGGGGTGGTCCGGGAAGTTGACATTTAGGCAAAGATTGAAGGAGGTGAGAGAGCAGGACATGGAGGTAGGTGGGAGCAGAGGAAGCCACCAGAAGGAAAGTCCTGATAAGAACAGGGCAGAGTACTCAGGCGCGCCAAAGGGACCAGTGAGGCTGGAGAGGAGGAAGCTAGAGGTCAGAGAGGCCACACAGGCCTGGGGGGCTAGGGTAAGAACTTGGACTTGACTCAGTTCAAGTCAAAAGTCTTAGGAAGGTTTTGAACAGAGGAGTGACAGGATCAAACTAATTTTTTAAAAAATAGAATGGCATTGGCCACCATGTTCAGAAGTTTCTACATGAGCAAGTGCAAAACAGAAACTAACTGGGCGTGGTGTCTCATGTCTGTAATCCCAGCACTTTGGGAGACCGACGTGGGCAGATCACCTGAGGTTGAGAGTTCAAGACCAGCCTGACCAACATGGAGAAACCCCGTCTCTACTAAAAATACAAAATTGGCCAGGCATGATGGCACATGCCTGTAGTCCCAGCTACTCGGGAGGCTGAGGCAGGAGAATCACTTGAACCCGGGAGGCGGAGGTTGCAGTGGGCCGAGATCGTGCCATTGCACTCTAGCTTGGGCAACAAGAGCAAAACTCTGTCTCAAAAAAAAAAAAAAAAAAAAAAAAGCAGAGACTAGTCAGGAAGCTGCTGTAAGAATCCAGGTGAGAATAAATGGTGTCTTGGATTGGGGTGGTGATATCTGGAGATGGTAGGTAGTGGTGGGATTCTGGAACATGTTATGATCATAGGGAAGGCCTCCAGAATTTGCTGATAGCTTGAATGGGGGTTAGAAAGGGGAGGGGGTCAAGAAAGGCTCCAAGGTTTTTGAGCTTAAGCAACTGAAGAAAGTTGCTATTCACAGAAAGGAGGATAATTTTAAGTGAAGCAGGTTGGAAAGAGGAGATTGGAAACACATGTTGCACATGATAAGTTTGAGATGCTCATTGGACATTCAAATGGAGACACAGAGTTTCCAGAGAGATGAGAATCATTCATGATTCATGATGTTCACATACAAATAGTATCTGAGATCATGAAACACCATGGGATCACCATGGGAGCGAGTGAAGATAGAGAAGAAAAGTAGAGATGTTTTTCCATGGGGAATCAATAAAGATTTACAGAATTTAAGTAGCCTTTTACACGACATTTTCCAAATTCATCAGCTACATCAAGAATAAATATACTGAATATATAAGCAGTCCATATAATGTGGACATGAAATTCTATAAAATAGATGGTGCTGTTATTACTTTACATACAAGGAAATTAAGAACCAGACAAGTGAACAAATTTGCTCACTGTCAAATAGCTAATGAAAAACAAAACAGGAATTTCAACCCAGGCATCCTCACCCCAGTTCTGATGTTCTTTCCGCTACAGCCATCTGCCCACTGCTGCACTTCCTCATTATCTAAGGTAGAAATGCATCTTTTGACCTCAACCTATTTGTGATGCATCTCCAAGTTTGAAATAAAAACCAGGTCATTTTAGCAGTTAAGTACTCTTGTTTTCTAAGCTGAAAATGTTGCCAGCGTTAGAAAATAAAAAATATATATTTTTAAAATTGTCTTTGGCAAAGTTTAATTGAGAGAGAGAGAGAGAGAGAGGGAAAGAAAGAGATAATGAAAAAAATTGTGCCTTCAATTTTCCCATAGGTACCGCCTGTCTCCTGGACTCTAAATCATCTTCTCTGTTTTTGGAAGAGGTAGATATAAGGCAGATACAATCTTCCTTGTCTTCGAAATCCAGCACAAGGGATAGAAAAAATAAAATGATCTATGTGGGGTCACCAAGTGATTTGTGTATGTGACTTGGAAAAGGTCCTAGCTGTCTTGCATCACTCTCTTTCCCTATGGCCTATGTAAGACTGTTTATACAATGTATATAGAAACTGGTAAAAACAAAATAATATCTGATAATTTGCAAAGCACTTTTTATCCAGCACTGATGCAAATACACTTTTTGAAATAGCTACTATGCATGCTAGCATCCATTTTAAAGATGAGTAAACCACGGCTTGGAGAGATATTAAATAATTTGGCAAAGGTTAACATAAGACAAAAAGCTGCAATTTTATAAAAGGCTATTATAATCACTAAAAAATAAATATAAATACACTTGGTACCTACAGGACCTACAAAATCAAACCCAGTTCTATTTTGGCACTACCATTTTCTGCAGTATGGTTTAAAGTCTTACCTGTATCTGTCTTCTCTCTTTCCTGTTTGGGTAACATTGCTCCTTCTTGAGAAACACCAAATATGGTCCCTGTCAAAGGAATGGTCTGAATCTTGTCCATCCTAGTAACTCCAATGCCTTTCCAGTTTCTTGGTGCAGTGCAGGGCCTGATAAATGTTGGCTGGGCTGTGCTGAGCTAGAGTTGGTGAGCTGAAGAGGAGGAGGAGTTAAGTTTGTAACAGCAGGTTGGGTGAAGACCACGAAGAACTCTGGATGCTGAGCTAAGCTATTTATATTTCCACCTATAGTTAATAGGTTTCCAGGGTTACTGCCTTGTCTGGTCCCCAGGTTCTGCATCTGCATGTGGGTTGTCCTACAGAAAGAAAAAGCTTGCTTAGCAAATAAAATGAGGACAAGCATGTCTTCATTGCAGGCCTTAGAAAAACCCATGCCAAGACTAATTATTTTTCAGATTTGAAAACTTGATTTTATTTTTTTCTTCCCACGCACACCTCAAGTCTTGTTATGGCTTCGGCCAAAGAAAACCAACTTTGACAGGGCCATTTCAGGCTTGTCCTGAGCCCAAAGTAGGGAGACAGGAAGTAGGAGGTGACATTTGATTTTTTTTTTTTGAGGTTTCCTGCTCAAATTTAAGACCAAGAAATTTTGTGTGGGTTGTTTCAGTCAGATGAACTAGAGAGAAGTGTTCCATTTCATATTTATTAGCTATGCTAGAACCAAAAGGAAGAGAGAAAATCATTAGTTCCTATTCTTATGCAGCTGTTTGTCTAATGGGAAGAGAAGAAAGAAATTCACAGACAAGTACAAAATAAGGCAGAATGTGATGCTAAGGGATGGCAATGTGCTATGTGGACTTACAGCTCATACTCAGTTGGGAAGAGAGAGCAGAGAAGTCTTCTTTTGACAGTGACATTTCAAATTGATCTTTAAGGCCATGTAAGATTTTTACGGGCATACATGGGTTGGGAGGCGAACATTCTAGCTGGAAGGAACAGAGTGGGTTAAGTGAAGGAGGCAGGAGTACTCAGGTTAAGGAAGCAGATTTAGGGAGTAGTGGTTATTTATATTTGGCATGAGCTATTTAGGGAGTCTAGTGACATTTTATGAGCCCTATATTGAGGGAAATGAAACCTGGTTAATTCTGAATACACGGGTGTGGTGGTCAGGGCCAACACCTGTATCTGAAAACACGTCAAGAGAAAGAGATAGGAATCAGTACAGATGTGATCTCCAATAAATTTATAGAATGGAGTAGATAATACAAGGATAGCATGAGGATTAATTTGCATATCACCCCTGTACAATAGATACAAGGGCTATCAGAAATGACTGATGCAGGGCTGTGGAACCTTGGATAATAGAGAGATGATTATGCCATAGAAAACTCAAAGAAAACTTGGAAGAGGTGATAGCTGGATGGGTAGAATTTGCATTTATAAGAACAGGGCTCTGAGACTATTCCAGATTGGGGAAAAAAACCATAATAAACTTGGGCAAGAAAACATCAGGAATATTTAGAAAAACTAGCATAAGTTTGACTAGCAGGGGTTCTTAAACTGGGGTGCAGGGATCCCTGAAAAGGTCAGTGGATAGAATTCAGAGATGGCAAATTAAAAAGAAAACAAAATCCTCACTGAATTCACACTGAAATCTAGCATTTTCTTCAAGTATGCATGCAGACAACAAACCATAGTAGTATTAATAGCACCTTGACCTTGTATCAGTAGAAATCACAGATATTTTTATAACACATCACTTTTGTTGAAGATATCTTAGAATAGCACTTACACTCATTATAACTTCAAAATTCCAATGGCATCAGACCTGATGCTAGAGCTTGTTTTTTGATGTGTTACTAAAGAAGCATGTTAATAACCGTATCACACTTTCAGTTATTTTGATAACCGTCTCTTAACATCATTGTTTTCCTTTGCAATACTATGTATTTTTTTAATGATTTCAAGTCCTTACTTTCAGAAGAGATCCATACTTTTTCCAGGCTGCCAGGGATGTCCTGGGCACAGAGTTTAAGGACCCAAGGGATTCTGAAAAAGACGACAAATAAGGTTCTAATGGCAGGTGGAAATAAGATCACAAAGAGACCTGAATGCCAAGCTAAGCTGTTTGATATAAATCTATAATTACCAGATAGCCAGCACCAACGGCTTGTCTAGACATCAAATTATTTTAGCCCTGGTCTCATCCTCCAAGTGTGATGCCAGGGATTGTCCTTTTATATACCCCCTAGTCTACTTAAGCCTGTTACTAGACACAGAGTTCAATTCAACATAGGTATCTGAAGAACTAAGACTGCCCTCCCAAGCTACATTGGTGAATCTGCCTCTTTACATTAGGGATATAATTAATAAATTCTTCTTAAATTTTTCTTCAAGTTTTTTTTTTTTTTTGGTATTTCATGGGCCAAGGAAGTTTTTTTTTAAAAGAGGAAAGCAATCCTGAGTAACTTTTTATTACTTTATTCCAAGTAGTATAATTTTAAAAATAATAAAATCTGGTTCCATCAATTGTCATCATCACTTCATAAAAGAATGAGAATTTTAACAGCCTACCCCTCAAAAACAAAAGGCATAACCTCAGGAAGAAAAAAAATATCTTGGCAATCTAACACTCTTTTTAAAAGATAGGCTTTTTACATTTTAAAATTAAAAATAGAATGTAAAATGTTATTTTATGAATTATGCTGTAGATAATATTTTTCTTGACAGAGGTTGTCAGGTAGGAGAGTACCTATGCAATATAGTAAAATAGAGTGAACCTGAGTCTCCAAATAGTGTGGTCACTTCATTTTTAATACTGTCATCAAAAATCAAATTTCAAAGACATTTATAGATAAAAATGAAAAGCACACACTGTCACTACTTCCTTGAATTCATAATATTCTGGGCACTTCAGAGAAGTGGATGAGTAACTCCACCATATCTCTAGCAGTGTTCATCCCTTTCTTGGCCCAAAGCTGAAAAGAAAGTTCACTAAGGTAGCCCAAGTCTGGCTGGAGAGGGTGGCAGGAAAGGACATGCCAGTGT
Source organism: Homo sapiens (assembly GCF_000001405.40). Taxonomy (NCBI): domain Eukaryota; kingdom Metazoa; phylum Chordata; class Mammalia; order Primates; family Hominidae; genus Homo; species Homo sapiens. The sequence goes on along the minus strand of NC_000009.12, from coordinate 108,010,696 downwards.
TTTTTTCTATGTGGCTATTCACAGCAAGGAGCAATTTTTCTCCCTAGTATCCCAACATAGAACAGTCAGGAAGTTATCTGAGCGGGATGTCATGGATTTGACTCCAACATAGGCCAGCACCTCTCCAAGACTGTATATTTGAGAACCACTAATCTGGTCCAGCCCTCTCATTTTGCAAATGAAGAAACTCAGAGGCCCAGAGACCAACCTATCCTGAAGGAAAGTGGATTAAGGGAACCCCAGCCAGAACTGTGGAAATCAGTCTCATCTTTTTTGCTGCCAAGATAGCTTTGACTTTTTGCCCTAATTCAGATACTGTGGGCAACTTCCTGATACCCGAGAATTTATGCCCACTATTGGGTGTCATTCTGGTTAAGTGGATGACTGTCTCTCGAATCTGATTAATGCCCCAAGTACACTGAAGCTGTGTCTTTTCTTGAGCTTGAAATTTTTCACACACACACACATTCATAGAGAGAAAAATCAGCCTTTCCTGAACCCACCTGAAGACTGAAGGCCTGACCCTAAATCCAAGTCCACAGGTCCTGCGACCCTGCTGCCTATTTATAGATGTCTCCAGATTTGTCTGGATATTAACAGTAAGCACCCTTTTTAAATACAAGCTTCAGCCCAAGCTCTGTGTTCATCATTCTACATTCATGATCTCATTCATTATTACTCACAAGGTCCTATGAGATGCAAATTATAGCATCCATTTTATAAATAAGGAAAATGATGCCTAGCAAGCCTCCATGACTTTCCCAGAGGCACACAAGAGTTTATGCATAAGTCCTTCTGCAAGGTCCTGGGGCTTCCTAGGCTGATATTCCATGTTGTCCAAGACCTGGCACAGGCCTGGCATGTGGTAGGTGCACTGAGAGAACTGCCTGGATAAAGAGATTTATAAGCATCTTCCTCTGTCATCTGAAGATGCTGTCCCTCCAGCACCACTCCATCTCCAACATGACTCACAAAATGTCCCATTAAACCATCTCGAAGGTAATTCATAAAATGTCCCATTAAATGTATGCAATGACTATGAATATAATTGCCACACAGACTCAGGGTATGCCAGTTTGTGACACTTTTTTTTTTTTTTTTTTTTGAGACAGAGTCTCACTCTGTCACCCAGGCTGGAGTGCAGTGGCACGATCTCGGCTCACTGCAACCTCTGCCGCCGGGTTCAAGTGATTCTCTGCCTCGGCCTCCAGAGTAGCTGGGATTGCAGGTGCCTGCCAATGCGCCTGGCTAATTTTTGTAGTTTTAGTAGAGACAGGGTTTTCACCATCTTGGCCAGGCTCGGTGGCTCATGCCTGTAATCCCAGCACTTTGGGAGGTCAAGGTGGGTGGATCATGAGGTCAGGAGTTCAAGACACTTTTAATTTAAATACTTGGTGCAAGTTTGGCTTGAGGCCTAGTGAAGTCTCTAATCTCTCTTATGGCCAGAGGCCAAGCCAGGCTCCCCCTATTCTCAAGCAATTGATTATTTGGAAGAAAGTGCTGGTCCAATGTGAACCCTTCCTGCACTTCATCTTGCAGTGTTTGGTTCATGGTTCCAGACAACTGAGATCATTTAAAAGTTTGATTGTGACATCAATCATATTTTCTATCCCTCCCAGCTATGTGTCAACCACAGATGTGATAAGCAGACTTTATATGTCTTTGTCTAAATAATTGGTACCAAATATTAAACAGGGCTAAGGACATTTTTGGGGGACATACCTCTGCCATGATTCCAGGGCATTTGCTTAGGCCTTCATTTCAGCATTTGTCCCTTGACATTATCAACTTTTTAAATTTTATCTTGAATCCAAGCTCTTCAAGAGCTGACCATTGATATTATGCTTCTTTTAGTCCTCATTGGGCACCATGCTGGGTATTGGAGAAAAACTCAGTCAATGTTGGCTGAATGGTGTGACAGACAGAGCCACTGATTTGGTGTCAGAAGATACAGGTTCAGGTCACAGATAACCCCCTTCCTGCACACAAGTTGTTTATCCTCCCAGGGCCTCAGTTTCTCTGTTCAAAAAATGGGGATAAGGATGTTTGCAGACAACTTCATTAGGGTGTTGCAGAGCACAAATAAAGTAACGGATACAAATGTGCTTGTTCACTCACCCCTATTCATTCTTTCATGTACACATTTCTTCAATCTGAAATACCTATTCTCTTCTCTTTCCCATGAATACCGCCCTCACCATGTTCTCCTTCCTCTGCCTCTCTGAGAATCCTTCCCTGACCCCCTGAGTAAGCCACCACCATCTCCTCTGAGCTTCCATAGCACTTTGCAGATCTTGAATTGTCCCATACGTTTTCAATTGTCTGATTACTTGTTCATTTTCCCCTCCATGAGATGGTCCTGGAAATCCAGAGCCATATCTTAGGTATCTCTATCTCTGGCACCAGCACAGGGAGACAGAAGACACTCAATAACAGGTTTATGGAACTAATATGAGTGATTGCCAGCTGCAAAGCTGGTTCTGCTCTTCTGCTCTTGCCTTAATGATGGCTGCATGGAGTGGTGTAGCTACAAAGGTCTTTGCTCAGGACACTGCCAAGTGTCACCATGAGCAGAGCCCTGTTGGGCCTGGATAGTTTTTGCTTGTCCTAGGGGACAAACAAAGGTAGTTATGATGGACAAAGCTGGCCCAAAAGCTCTATGATAACAGGTATCATATCTCTTATTACCATCATGTCAGGCTGGGTTCCTCAGCAATCAGGCTCCGGCATGGAAATTTGCACACAAGAAGTTTACTGGGGAGGGTCTTTGGGATCAACTCCAATGGGAAGGTGGGAGGAACAGGATTGGGCAGATAGAGAATTCCAGCTGCAACGCACTGTCCACAAATAACTCAGCTGGTCCTGTGGAGAGGTCTAGAGCTGGGGAAGGCCCTTCAGAGTTGCTCCAAATTAAGACAAGAGAGTCAAGCTTCTACCAACACCTTCCCAACAACCTGTCTTCGAGGAAGGCTGCCCATGTAGAGAGGTAAAACCTTGAGCTAGGTGTTCTCTTCCACTGAAGACATTTCCAGAGAGGAACCCAGCTGAGAACCACCAACATTTGCAGCTGCTGGAGATATGAGCACTGAAGTACTGAAATGGGGAGTGCCTATTCCATTGCTTGTGCCTAACGGTACCTGGCTCATTGCAGTCCTTCAACTAGTACTTCTTGTGTGAATGAAGGACTCTGTGGTCAACCTGAGATAGAATCCTGTAGGTTTTCTATGGGACTTCTAACATTGATTCAGTCTAGGAACCTTTCAAGTGTGCAACCTCCCTGCCAGGGCTCAGGGAAAAGGAAAACAAGTCCCCTTCCCTTGAGAAGAGAGGCAGCCACACAAAGAGGCAATCTTACCCAAGGTGAGGATTTTACATGGGCATGCTCAGAGCATGGAAAAGACAGGTTCTTGAAGGTGTCTTTGAAGCTGAGGCCTGAAAGACAAGAAATAGGTAGATCCTAGGAAAAAATGCAATGTAAGCCAGCAAGACTGGCATGAGAGACCATCACATGGACACTAAGGTGATATAGGTCAGGTCAGGTTCTCGGGGCCTTAAGTGCCAGAAGACAGAGCCTAGACCAGATCCTGATATTGGCAAGGAGACCATGATAAGGTTTTCAGCAGAAAAGTGACAGGCCAGGCTTTCCTTCTAGGAAGAACACAGGGTTTATTTCCTTATTGTGTCCCTTTTCCATCTGGGGTTCTGTGGGGAAGGACCAGCCACCCAAGCACATGCCATACCCATGGCCTCCACCCAGAGCACAGCATGAACTCTCCCCACTGCCAGGTCCTCTGAGAAGCTGAAGGAACTGCTGTCTCTCAGGAGGAAGGGTACACTCTTTCCTTGACACCTAGGGCAGTGAGTCCCTGAGGGTGTGACCCCAGTGAAAGGGAACCCAGAGAACAATGCTGTAAACACAGAGAAATCAAGGCAACTCTTTACATATTACATAGTGGGAACAGCACTGCCCGAGGAGTCCACTTGGGCTGGCTTGCAGTCCACTCTCAGCCACCTGCTGAATTTGTGGTATGGGCAAATCACTAACCCACATCTATAAAATGAGTATGATAATTACACCACTCCAGTGATGAGGACATACAAATTAACCCAATAATGAGACACAGTTTTATGCTGATCAGATTGACAAATATTTTTTTGAAAAATAATGTTCAGTACTGATGAAGATGGGTAATACAGGTTGGCTCATTCACTGTGAGTAGGCATGGTCATTTGGAATAAATAATTTCAGGAAACATCAAGTTTTAAAATGTGCATATCTTTTGACCTGGAAATTTTGCTTCCAGGAATTTATTGTAAGGAAGTAATTAGAAACACATGGGGGAAACACATGTTAAAGTATATTCAGGAAGGCATTATTTATGAGTGCAAAAACTGGAAATAACTTAATGTCCATCAATATCTATCAGTAGATAATAGTATTACTAAAGTATAGCACACCTTTACATAGGAATATTATGCAGCAATGAAAATTGGGCTTGCAAATTGGATTTATTAACACAGAAAATGCTTATAATCTAATGCTAAAACAGAAACAGGAATATAAAGCACTTGTATTTCAATCCCAATTTTGTAACTATAGAAAATGCTAAAACATATAACCTGTTACTATGTAATTGGTTTTGAAATATAATTTTGCATTTTTTCACTTGCTAGCTGCTATAAGCAACTGGTTTATCAACATATTAACAGTAATTATCAATCAGGGTATCAGGGCAATTCTAATTTTCTACTCCTTTTTTAAAAGTATTTCAAGCATTCTACAATGATTGTTTCTATAATATCTATAATCAGTAAAACAAAAGCACAGTTTTGAATAATGATAATGTGTGCCTCTCAGGACTGTTGTAACAACCAACAAGATCACGCACATGAAGGAGCCCTGTAAAGAGTAAACCCCTATAAGTACATGAGGATCCATTTCTTCCTGAAACTCTGCATCTCTCTTTACTAAAGCATCTCAAAGTAAGGGGAGTAATTCATCCCGAGGCCCTGGTACCCTGGAAAGGTCTCTGACAGGCAATTGGTGACTTCCTTGCAGGGTAACATCACAGCGATCTCCCAAGGATGCCTCTTAGGTCTCTGCCTCATCCTTCCTGTTTCTTCAGCCCTGCTGTCCTGTCCTGGTCAGGCACTGATCACTTCCCGCCTGAATGACCATATCAGCTTTATTCCTGGTCTTTCTGTCTCCTGGATCCCAGTCTCTTTCACCCATCATGCTGCAGCCAAGGACACTGTTCTGCTGTGTACCTCTGACTATATCACTCCAATGTGGTTGCCACAGGCGACAGTTTGAGCTTGGTGTAGAGTACAAAGCCATGCATCATCTAAACTCCATCTAATTCTCCGAGGACATCTCCTGCTTCTCCTTCACATCTGGAAATACAACCTTGGCCCCAGCCAAATTATGTCACGTTAATTCCCTAAACACTCCATTCTTTTTTTTAGGCCTCCATCTTCCTGTGTTCACCCAGCAAACTCTTCGTCAGCCTTTCTAGGCATTCTCTATGGAGCTGACTTCTCTCCACCTCCCATCTCATACCCAGTGATGTATTATTTTGTGACACAGACAATATTTCTAATGCAAGATCATTATTTTAAAAAATTAATTAAGTTCTATGTTTTATTTGGAATTTATGAGTTTTTCATCAATGTTCTCTTTTGGTTCCAAGATCCAATCTAGGTTCCACATAGCATTTAGGAGCACTTTACTTTTATTAACTTATTTCCTCCTCACAGTAACCTATGAGGCAGACACCATCATTTTCTCCTTTTCACAGATGAGGAGACTGAGACACAGAGAAGCTAAGCAATTGGTTAAAGTCACACAGTAAGTGGGAAAACTAGAATCTGAACCCAGTAGCCTGGCTCCAGAGCCTTTGTTCTTAATCCTTAGGCTGTTTCACACACACAAAAGTACCTGACTTTCTAATACACCACTCTAATTTTAACTTTTATTTTTCTTTTCCTTTATCTTATTCCAATAAAAATTCAATGACATTTCTACAAGGACTTCTCCCCAAACCTTAAGGAGTGCATAGTACATACAAGTGTTAAAATGAGAAGTTGGACCAATTGCCTGAGAACAGTTTGAAAACATATCACATCTTATGTTATTATTGTATTTGGTTTTTACTAAATTGAGTTCATTATTTGTCTTTACTCTCTTATTACAATATCTAAGAATTACAATTATGGGGCTTTAAAAAATTAATACATCATAGGTATACATATTTTGGGGATACATGTGATATATCAATACATGTATCCAATGTTTAACAGTCAAATCAAGGTAACTGGGATATCCGTCACCTTAAACATCTATCTTTTCTTCGTGTTGGGACCATTACAATTCTTCTCTCTTAGTTATTTTGAAATATATAATAAATTATTGTTAACTTTAATTTTCCTATTGTAGTATCAAATACTAGAACTTATTCCTTCTAACTAATGTATTTTGTACCCTTAACCAACTTTAAGTACGGTCTTCACACCTCTGTATTCTCCATCGAACAAGCTCCTTGAGAAGATGTCTTACTCACCTTTGAAACCTTGCCACTTCTTATGTGCCCAACAGTCCAGGGATTTCTTAACATTTTCTTCAATGAATTGTGCCAGAATTCCCCCCCATGGCATATAGCAAATCATACCTACATTTGCTCTGGCTGCTGTATAATGTTGACTTCACAAAGTCCCCAAGCATCCAAGCAATCTCTCACAGTTGTCATCTGGAGGACCAGGGAGCTTTTGGGGGAAAAGCAGAGCCCCTCAATTACCAATTCTGACAACTTTCATTTGAGCCTGGGGCTCCCTATGCAAACAGACAGTCAGCATGTGATCGGAGAAGAAATAAAAGTATGTTTCTATTAAAACCATGTTCCTTAAGTTGTCACTCTGAATTTATATTCCTCTGGCCCTTGCCAAGTTGGCTCTAGGCTCCACTCTGTCCTGAAATTAGAGCATTCTTCTCATAGTCCCCGGGAGATGCCTACAATGCTTGAAGATTGAAAACAGAACCTGAAACGTGGATTTGGGAATTTGTGGAGTCCAAAGAATCACTGATCTATATAACCTGCCCCAGATAACCAAGCTTCCCTTTCCACCTCTGATTAGAGCTTCGTTAGAATGGAAAAGTTCGCTGCTTAAATGATAGTCCCACTACGCAAGAGGATAGGTAGAAAATCTACCCACTGCCTATCCTGTGGGGAATCAGACAGCTTGGGGTAAAACAAAGTGCTACCCACAGCCAGTGGGTTTGGTCTTTGGGCAGAACCAACTACAGGGTACGTGTGCATTTACATGTTGAATTTAGTAAAAATGAGCAATTATTGGGCACCTACTATTTGCAAGCCCTCTTGATGGGTCTGGTGAAGGATGAAGGGTTGAGCAAGAAGGTCATTGCCTTTAAACAGCTCATTTCTATTGGAGAAAAAGGATTTGGATCTAAATGGCCCTGCCTGATAGTAGAATGGGATAAGTATTTGGAGCCTTAGAAAGTGCTATGTGTGTGTCTATGGACAGTGTGGGGTGGTAGGAGGAGCACAGGTTTGGCAGCTAAACAGATTCAGGTTCAAATGCAAGTTTAGCCAGTTACCTTAGACGACGTACTGCACGTTTTAGAGCCTCAGTTTCCTCAAATGTGGGAAAGGGGTTCCAACAGCCCACTTCACATAGGAGTTAGATGGAGATGAGATGAGATCCAGCGTGTGTGCTCCTGGCCTGCAGTAGCTCTAGCTCCTCTCCCTTTCGCTGTCGATCAGCTGACACCCAATGACATCGCCAATAACCCTGGGCAAACACTCACAGAGCCCAAGAGGAAGTGTCAAGAAGGGAGGCCAGAGTCTGCCGAGGGGAAAGCCTTTGCCTCATTCTTTCAGCTTTTAGAGGCTTCTGTTCCTGTCCAGTCACCTCGAGACTGTGTGTTCTTGGACTTAGCAAATTCTCTGTCAGTTCATTTCGATTAAAATCTCTGTTAGCCCGAGAAGTTGAACCGGGTTCACTCAGAGTGGGAACTGAGAAGGATTGCTGTTGTGAGGGCTTTGCTATTGAGGCCCCCCTGCTCCTTGCCAGACCACAGAGTGTGCAAGAAGAAGAAAACGAACAAGCCGGTTAAAAGGTGGCTTTTTTCGCAGAAGGGCTGCTGCCCTGGCCTGTGGTCTTAAGCGATGCAGTCAAGCTTAGGGAATCTCGGCTCAGACTTCAGAGAGAAGCACACGCAGCAGCTGGTCCATGTCTCTGCGTCTTCTTTCATTTCATATGTAAAGGAAAGCAAATTTCCAAATCTCTCTGTAAAGAGGGAAAATGGGCCTCTTTTCCTTTTACGGCACTTCTTACCCCAGATTTGACTAAGCATAAATAGTGTACTATTATCTTCTTACAGTCAGGCATGAGGAGTTTAAACAGCATAACAGACTGACTCTCAGAAGACTAGAAAGTCAATGTTGGCTTAATATCTAAGGGCTGGGAGGCTTTGAAATAGCTCTTTAAATGTCTCATGACTCAGTGTCTTCATCTTTCAACTGGGCACAATAATATCTACCCCCCACCCAGGGTTAGTTGTAGACTATATAAGTTAGGGTTTACAAGGAAACTGTCACATAGCAGACCCTCAATAAATGTTAGCTCCTCTCACAACTCGTACCCCATGAGACATTGAGCAAATCATTTAATGAGTGTTAGAATTTCTCTGTTGCAAAATTAAGCCCATTTGCCTTGCTCTTTCTACCTCTCAAGGCTGATTTGAGAGGTTAAATTGATAGTGGAATGAATGTACTTTGTAAATGGAAAGCACTAAGGCAAAATCAAATTTATTGGGAGAGCTCTTTTAACCATGTGGGAATGACTCAGGAGAGGAGAGGAGAGAGTGCGTCCTTATTAAAGACTCACCCCTTCAATCACCCCTTAGATCTGAGGCACTTTAGAAAGTCCCACCTTTGCTTGGACTTCTAGACTAATCAATTATTATCAAAGAGCTGGAGAAAAGGTTCAGTTGCTGTTGAAGTCAAAACCATGTTCGCTACAGGGCCAGTCTCCAACCCTTTAAATGCCATAAAGCCTCAAAGAAATAAAAACTGGCAAAGCCTGACGCCAGCTACATGATTAACTGGACAAAGCCTATGCACTCTAAGCCATGAGATCAAAGAGAATATTCTTTCCAACACATAAACCCTCTTAGAGAACTGGAACATGATTCATCCTAACAAGCCACTTAGGGGTCAGGTAAGCAGACCATCCCCTGCCTGAGGAAGTCCTGGACAGGAAAGTGATGGAGTCACACTTAAGGACCTTCATATTCAGAGGCAAGATGTTCATGACCTGAGACGAGAGTCCAAACAGCTAACTTCCTGAGAAAATCCTCCATGTATTTACAAAGTCGTGAGATCCTTGAGGGTAAGGGTGCCTCTGACTCAGCGGACATCCCAGTTTCTAGTTCAAAGCCTCACATTGACTGGGTCCTTAGGAACCTAGTTTTTTATGCTTGTGTCACAAAAGTCTTCACTATGAACTCATAGCTTAGCCCTAACTCACCTACCGAGGCTCCTCTTCCCCTTTATCTTTCTTATGGAAGAAAAACGAATGTAGACAGATGTGCTTGCAAGCCACCTCCTGAAATAATCAAAGAGGCTCAAAGCCATTGGAATAGGAAGATGACTAGGATACGCGTCATCATTATTTCTCTCTTATTAATACGGAGGTGTTATGAATCAAATGTTTGTGTTCTCTCAAAATTCATTTGTGGAAGCTCTAATCCCCAGTTGATGGTATTTGGAGACACAGCCTTTGAAGGTGATTAGGATGAGACGAGGTCATGACGGTGGGGTCCTGGTCCAATGGAATTAAAGCTCTTTTAATAAGAGACACCAGAGAGTTTCCTCACTCTCTCCCAGGTGTAAGCGCCAAGGAAAGGCTATGTGAGCACACAGGGAGCAGGTGGCTGTCTGCAAGCCAGGAGAGCCCTCACCCAGAAACCAATAATGTTGACACCTTGATGGACTTTCAAGCTCCAGAACTGTGAGAAAATAAATTTTGACAGCATTTTTTACAGCAGCCCAAACTGACTAAGACAGGAGGTAAAGAGAATTCTTCCCTAGCATTTGACACCAACCTCTTCCTAGTTGTTCGAGCCAGAAACCTAGGAGTCATCTTCGATTCCTCTGAAGTCTTCTGTCTTCCTCACCTAAGCAATTGCAATGTCTTTAAAAAAATCTCTCTCCAACCTGATTTACTCTGTGTCCGGACTTCTCCAGATCCTCGCCATCCCCAGAACATTTGCACTAGATCAGAAGAGTTTCAAAAGTTCCCATCTCTGAGCTGTGTGGAGTACTTAGCACACATAACTGATGCAGACATGTGGAAAGGAAGAAGGAAATAATGAATACATTAATTCCTATCTTGTGCCAGGACTGCATGAGGTGTATAATCTCAATGAGTGTTGTAAATCTTCTCTGCTTGTTTCAGGTAAGGAGATGGAGATGCAGAGAAGGAAAATGACTTGCCTAGGATTGCATGCTGGTAAGAGGAGGAACTTATCGGAAGATCTGGGTGTTGGTTGCAAATTCCATACTTGCTGCATTACAATGTGCACAGTAATGACCATCTTGGGGCCGGGCCCAGGACAATAGCATGTAGTTGGTGCTCAACAAAGAGTTATTATAGGAAGGACTCAAAACACCACCTGCTGACCAGGCACAGTGGCTCACCTGTAATTCAGATACTTTGGGAGGCTGAGGTGGGAGGATTACTTGAGCTCAGATGTTCAATACCAGCCTGGGCAATGTAGTGAGACCTCATCTCTACTAAAAATCAAAACAATTAGCTGGGTGTGGTGGTGGGCAGCACCTTCGATCTACTGAAGCTGCAGTAAGCTTGCTCATACCACTACATTCCAGCCTGAGTGAGACAGCAAGACCCTGTCAAAAAAAAAAAAAAAACAAAAAAACAACAAAACAAAACAAAAAAAAACACACACAGAGAGAGAGAGAGAAAAGAAAAAAAGCCAAACAAACACTTACTGTGCCCCGCCATGTGCTGGGTAATGCACCATGCCTCTCACCTCAACTGAGTACAATAGTATTACCTGATTGTACAGAGAGTTGGAGGTTAAATTACTCTTCTTTTTGAAGACGTTTCATCATCTGGAAAAAAAGAAAATGAAAAACCTAATTTTTCCTAAGGATTAGTAGAAGGTCAGACAGCTAGTACAGCTCAACTCCAAGGCTGATGCTTTGGACTTGGGACTTTGTCAAGCATCCATCCTCCTGGAGGGCACTGTACCCAAGCTAACTAAACATTTCTCTTTTTCCGTGTGGCTGCATCTCTGCTGGAACTGAGATTGGTAGTTAAGGAGGGGACTTAAAGAGTATCAGTTTGAAACTGCTTATCTTCTGGCTGCTGCTGAGCTTCATGTGCTGCATTCCCCCTCAGCTACCTGGAATCCTGGAATTCCGTGTCCCGAGGGCACTTAGGAGAGAAGAGGTGCATGGTTGGATGTAATGCGACACCGTGGGCAGGCTGCTCTTCCAATTATCATGTAGCTCCAGATTAGGAGTTCAACAAGCCACCCTTGGCTCAATGCAATTTCCAAAGCCAGGCAAGACCCAGAGGGAGAAATTCTCTCTAGACAGCAACTGAACTGAGTACATTTGGAAGCAGTGGGTGAGATGGTTGCTATTGAGCTCAGACCATAGAATTTTAGGGATCAGGAACTTGCCTTTAGGGTAGTCAGCTAAGAGGAGCAGTATCCTCGGTATTTACCTTCTGACTGCTGGTGTTCACAATGACAGCCAGGGCTCCAGTGAGGCTGCAAGCACCAGAGGGATTTTCCCTAGGAAGCTAGAATAACCAAGGCTTGCAAACTTAAAACTAAAATAGCTCAGATGTGGAAGGTACAACTCAACCCGTTAAGTGAATGAATGATTCATAGCATGGAGGTGGGGTTGGCTCTGCCCTTTCATTTTCAACTATCTGCAAGTCCCTAAGGATACCTCTTTTCTGAATTAAAATCAGGAGAAAAATATCTAAATTATCTTATTCTCAGTTGTCCCGTAGTGCTTTTTCCAACCCTCACCAAAAGACAGACATCTTTTTATAAATGGCGACTGCCTTTGCTAACAGAAGGTGCTGCTTTCATTTCTAATAATGGCACTCGTGTTCACTGGGAAACAAGAATGTATTGAACATAGCACCAACTTTGGAATTACATGGTCTGAATTAAATTCCGTCTCCGTGCACCATGCTGTGCAATATTGGGCAAGTTCCTTTATCTCCCCAAGTCTCAGGTTCTTCACTGTAGAATGGAGACAATAACAACAGAAGCTAAAATGTATTGAGCACTTCGATGTTGCAAATCACTTTGAACATGGGAGGGGAGGTCTAGCCATGCAGCCTCACTACCAAACTATTCACCAGGCAGTAACAATGTGTCATAACAGATAGTTCTCAATGGCTTACATGGCATTTTTATAATAGAGACTTCCTTTGATTTTTTTCAATTGTTCAATGAGATAGACCCAGTAGGGCTGATGAAACCCATTTTGTAATGAAGAAATGATGCTTAGAGAGATTAAGTGGCTTTTCTGAGGTAATCTAACTTGCAAATGAAGGAGATGGATTTGAACACAGGTCATAACCACAATGCTATGTGCTATGCATGTGCTTTATAAGTTTCTCATTTACTATTTAGAGTAGCAGTTCTCAACCAGGGGCAATTTTGCCTCCCAGGAAACATTTAGCAACGTGTCTAAAAACAGTTTAAATTCTCACAACTGGGGGATGCAGGACTACTGCTTCTAGTGTGTGGAGGCTGAGATGCCATATGTTCTACAATGCACAGGTCAGTCCCTGTGCAGCAAGGAATTATCTGTCCCCAAATGTCAATGGTGCCAAAGTTGAAATACTATGATACAGAGTAAAGGACAAACGCGAGTTGTTTCCATTTTATAGATGATAAGACTGAGACCCAGAGATTAAGTTACTTTCCCAGGGTCATTTAAGATATGGTGAAGCGGGGATTTAAAGCCAGACTATTTGAACCTACATTCCACTTCCTAACTACTAAGCTATATTCTCTCTCCAAGGAAATCTATATTGAATCCATTCAAGAGTCTTGGACGGTAACAAAAAAATACATCCTTCAAGTGAAGAAAGTATATGAGGGGGCTTTGCCCACTCCTCCAGAGAAAATATAACCTTAATCTAAACCTGAGACTTCAGAGTAGGGCCTGTCTCCCCCCAAATAGCTCAGCCCTTGATTTTTGTTTTACCAAATAGTATACTTGTTTTACTCCAAAGGAAAGTCTAGTTCCTTCTCTAAAATGCCAACATTGTTAGTCCTAAATTCTAAAGAATTTAAATTGGAGAATTCATTCTAAATTCTAAAGAAATAGAAATGAAGGACCAAAAATGATGATTGATGAGAACATGACACAGGACAAAAGGGCGAGGAGCCTGGGTCCCCAGAAGAATGTGCTGTCAGGCTGCACTGGTTCTCGCGGCGGGGGGCGGGGGGGTGGGGGGGCTCCAACTACCATTGGAGGTCATGGGATCTGACTTATTCGCATTGGAAGAAGGTGGGGGTTTACATAGATACACCTAAATTCTCTATTTGACCAGAAGTAAGCCCCCCCTTTTGACTCTGGATCACATCCCAAATGAGAGATCATTTGTAGAATAAGCAGTTTCAAATTGATACTCTTAAGTCACCTCCCTCACCACCAATCTTCAAGTTCTGGCCTCCATATCAATAGTTTGAAAACATATCTCCTACTACTTCACGTATATAAACGGCAGGTACGCTTATGTATGGCACACTTATTTAGGTATGTCCCAACTTCATGAAATTGTAATCCATTGTGCAGGTAAAGACATACATAATCAAAGGCACTACAACAATCCTTACCACCGTAACTTGTAATGACCCATCTGCCATGTGCAAACACATGGGGCTGTGGGTTATGTTCATTCCCCAGCCTTGGATGTGTGAGATGACTGTCCCATGGGTAAGGATACATGGAGCTAGCTGCTGGAGGAGTTGCCTTTCTAGATGCTCAAGGAGCTGGGGAATAGCCTCAGGTGTGGTCGATCAGGCAGAGAAGAACTGAGGAGGCCCAACTGTGGATCGTGTTGGATGGAGCTCCAAGTAGCAGCCCCAAGTTCTCCTTTCACATATACTGGATATCTCTCTTCACTTGTGGCTGATGAGATTTTTAGTGGTTTACTAGCTGGCTAAACAGTGTCTTCTCTAAGAATGTATATCATACAAATTAGAGCATCATCATTATTCTGAAACCTTTACCTTAAAAAGTTCAGTTGGATTTGAAATCCATTCTTATTTTTACAAACAATCCAATATTTACTGATAAAAAGGAAGTGCTCTCAGATTTTTAAAATATAATTTCAACTGTAGAAAATTTTGAATTTTTATAAAAATGTTTAAAAATTGTAATCATCTGCGTGTGAAAGGTTTCTGGAATAGGATTAAGAATTTGAAGATACCATCATTAAAATATCATGGTCAGAGATTGTTTGCAGTCATTTCAAGCAGAAAGAATAATATTTTAAAAATTTATATTAATAAAAGCAAGCTTAATTTGTCATGGAAAAATTTAAAACCATTTATTTGGAAGTTTTATATAAAGTTAACATTTAATAAAAATTTTAAGACACTCTGTTTTGTTGTAATTACATAAGATAAAAAAATCGTGATTAAAAAAAATCAAGCCCATATAGACAGACACCTCCCAGGTCCCCTCCCACCTGCTCTATTATACTGGACAAATGCTCTTATTTTCTTCGTGTACTATGGCATAAGGGTTTTGGAAGCAATAGTCTAGGATACAGACTGGAGATGCCTTGGTTTGCTAGCTGTGTTTCTGTGCTGCCACAGCTAAACTCTAAGCTCACTGGGCTGGGAAGTTGCTATTTATGCATCTTTGGGTATCCTATGATGTAATGTAAATGAACGGAGTCCTTTAAATGCTTGTTTCAGACATTTCTTCTCATACATAGGCTCATGATTCAAACTTGTAATAACCACAATAGTAGCTATCACTTACAGAATACCTACTATATTCAGACCACAGCAAGTACCGCATAAACATTATTCTCTTCTTTTAAAGAAAATATTTGATATTCACTAAAGCATATATGTTACGTATCTGCCAGTTTCAAAGCTAATAATGTAATGAACCATTAAAAAATTACTTAAAATTCTCACCACAACCCCATCAAAACATGCATATTCATTGCCCCTTGTTTACAATGATAAAAGTCAAGTATGGAGAGGATAAGTCACCACCCAAAGGCACACCACAAATGATGCCAATCATGCCATTAATACTTGACCAAATGGCTTAGATCAGCGTGTCTCTGAAATCTGTAAATATCAGGCCAATGTAGGAATCAAAGACCTGAGAACTCCCTCCAGTTACCAAGAAGAGAGAGAGAGAGAAAGAGAGAAAAGAAAAAAAAGGAAAATGTTTGTATAGATTTGATAGATGTCAGGAAATACTACATTTAAAGTCTGTGAAATGGTCCCTGATCCCACCATAGCTGCTTCAAAAGCAGAAAAGCATGAGGAGGGAGGAAAAGGAGAAAGAAGAAGTGAGATTATAGCAGCCTGAGATGAACTCAATAATATAAACTGGAATTCTGATCATATTCTCAAGCCATGATTTAACAAAATGAAATGAAAATAATAAAGCAATAGCAAAGAAATCCAATCACATGGGAATTTTAAAAATCCTTACTTAATTATGTGTCAGTGAAGCTATCCAAGAACATCTACAAGATTTTCTATGACCAAAAACACAGACCACAATGGCCTCACTTCCTTTTGTTTGACAGCACTCTGACCTACTTTGTGGTCATTACAGACACACAACTGGCCATCGTATGGGGTGAGGCTTTCACCATAAGGGAAGAAGATAAAACTTCTCCCTCAAATCCCATCAGTTACCTTTCCACAGGCACTACAGAATAGTAAGACGAGACTGGGTTCACCCTTTGCTGGGGAGGGCCCTCAGATTGAGATGATCAAGAAAGGTAAAACAGAAAGGGAATACAGGAAGGAAGTCTGGAGTGAAATTTAGTCTTAGGAGAGAACCAAAGAGATATCAGGAAATTTCCCCATTTTCACACTATCAGTTCAGTACAGTGGAAAGGAAGAAGGATTCTAGGTATCAGACAAAGCTGGGTTCACTCAGTTTCAGTACAACTGGTGTCCTGGGTTTCTACTGAAACTTCTAGGGAAATTTAAACATGGTGCTGGGGTGTGATGTGCCCAATGGCAAGCCAGTAGGTCTAGATACATGATCAACAAGCATGGCATCCATGAAAATCCACAGGGTGGTAAGAAGTAACATCAGTAATGTCACTAACAACTTAACGCAGAGTGCAACACATGTGTGTCTGCAAAAAGCTACCCACCCCTCCATGGAAGATAGCCAAGACAACAATGGGAAGAAAAATTATTACTTGAAATAAATTTAATAACCATAGAAAAAAAGAAAATATGGTCCCAATATATTAGTAATTTAGAAAAGAAGCAATAAGCTCCATAGCATCTGAATAAAAAAGGAGACAAAATAAATAAGACGACATCGGAATCAATAAACTAAATGAAAAACTAGTGTATTAGATTCTCCAGAGAAACAGAGCCAAGGATATGTACATATATATATGTGTGTGTGTGTACGTATATATGTGTGTGTGTGTGTGTGTGTGTGTGTGTGTGTGTGTGTGTGTGTGTGTATAGAGAGAGAGAGAGAGAGAGATTTACTTTAAGGAATTGGGTTGATAAATTCAAAATTTGCAGGGTAGGCTGGCAGCCTGGAGACCCAGGGAAGATTTCCAGTTCAAGTCTGAAGGAATTCTGCTGGCAGAATTCCTTCTTGCTCACTGGAGTCAGTCTTTGGTCTACGAAGACCTTCAACTGATTGGATGAGACCACCTACATCATGGTGGGCAATCTGCTTTATTCCAAGTCTGTCTATTTAAATGTTCATCTTATTTTAAAAATACCTTCACAAAAACATCCAGAATAATGTTTGACCAAATATCTGGGCACTATGGCCTAGCCAAGTTGATACATAAAATTAATCATGACAACTAGTTTATAGAACTAATCTTTATTTTGTGCTTTATAGTTTAGTATACATTTACAGCTATTATTTCCTTTAATCTACTCAACTTTTTTTAATGGATTAGCAAACTGAGGCTGAAATGCTGAATAACTCTCCAAGCACACACAAGTAGGCATTGTCTTGAACAGGTTTACCTGAATCCCCTCTGCCACCCTCATGGCAACAGCAACACGAACGAACTCAAAGCCAGCATCTCACATCACAGCTGTGCACTTCTGTGGTGTCAGACACTTCTTTGAAAATAATAATCCAAAAAAAAGAGAGATCAATATGAACCTCTCAGCAGAAATAATGTAATTCCCTCACTGGGGGTGGCAGGGAGGTAGGTATAGGACTGAGGAATGCCTTTGATAGTTTTCTTTTTTAAAAAGTTACCTATTAGCAAATGGTTTCGCTGATGGCTTTGCTTTTCTTATTAGAGAACATCTGTTTCTGGCCCTGAAAGTCTTTTCTTTTAAATAGATGTTCTTTCAAAAATCAGCTACATAAATGGAGCCTTTACACATTCATTTTACTGCATATGTGTTCAGTGACCATCATATGTCAAAGAAGAAGGTGAATTCTGAGCAGAAAAACTTGAAAAACCAGACACAAAACTGTATATGCTGTATGATTCCATTCACATGAAGCTCAAAAGCAAGTAAAGCCAAACTGAGAATAACAATTACCTTTGATGGAAGGTGCTGCTGGGCTGGAGGCATGCAGGAAGCTTGGTGCTAGAATGTTCCATGTCTTAATTAGAGCGATTCTTGCACAAGTGTGTGTGTGTGTGTATGCAAAAATCACTAAGCCATTCACCTGAAATTTGTGTACTTTATTGCATATATATTATATCTCAATCAGGAAAAGAAATAAGTTATTAGAAATAAAAATAAAAGTAAGAAAAAGCATTGGGAACTGCTTGTTTCCATTGTGGGACTTGTAAGTGAATGTGAGCAAAATAAGAAGGGACGTAGTGGACTTTTGTGGCAGAGGAGAGAATAGTCAAGACCCATTGGAGGCAAGGCCATAGAAGGAGGACCTACTGTTCAGTAGAAGTTTGCAGAGCCAAGCCCAACTCCAGGATGAGATTGTGGGTGAAAGGGAAGTTTGCTCACCATAAGCAAACCACAAATACAGTATTTCATGAACATCCTTCAGAAGCAGGGACTGCAAAGCCCCTGTATTTTCTTAGAAGATTTTTAAGTAGAAAAATAAAGTGAAACGTGGCCTACAGTACTAGCAAGCCTTGAAAAGCTAAACTGCATTTTATCCAAAACCACAATGTTCAAAAATCTGGAGCTATCATGTGTGAATGAACCGATGGTGTCTCCTGTGACTTCCTTAAGGAAATGGTATTTGGTATAGTGAGGGATTCAAAGCAGTTACCTAACTTGTTGGTAGAATGTTCTGATAAGTAAAACCTCCTTTGTGAACTCATATGTCCTTGACCTCAAAGCCCCTTCCAGGGTAGGAGCAGATTTCTGTTTTGTCTAGTAACAAAAGAATTAAAGAAAGACAGTGTTCCCTCCAGAGCCGGTTCTGAGACAAAGGAAAACTTTGCTGCAGGCATGGATTTCTGGAAGGTTTCTAAGAATTTCTTGGGTTTTGGTGAAAAGAATTCTCCCAAATAAGATTGTCTGAGATTTTCCAATTACACATTCTAATTGCAGCAGAGATCCCAGGCTCTAAGTCATTCTGCCGGCTGCAGGTTGTGCTTGACTCACTGGACACAGCAGGACCTGGCCAAGCCTGCCACGGCCCACAGCCCAGCAACTGCCTTTGATTGGGCTCTGCTGCCAGACCAAGGGTGGAGGGGCCTGTCCAGGGCCCCCGAAGTCTCTGAGAGGCAACAATTCTGACTAAGAAGGACACGTGGTTTCTGGAGAAGCATGCTCTGGGTCACTGGGGCCACTGGCTAATGGAGCCAGCAGGGACCTCACCAGGTTTCTTCTGAGCAGTTCTTATGGGGCTGGGTCCATCTTGGTCACAGATTCCTGGATGCCAGGGCTTCCTGGTGAGGTGAAGAGTGTGGAATGTATCTACTCCCTTCTATCCCCCAACTACCACCACCAATCTAGGGACAATGACCCTGTCTCCAACATCCAGCATCCTCTAGGGATCCTAGATGGTTGTAGGAGGAGTCTGTGCAAGTTTCACCTAGTTCTTCCTCTGTCAGAATGTCCCCTGACCCTGTCTTATCCCATTTAGTCACCCTGCCTCTAATCTCTAATTCCTGTTCTCTCTCTTTCTCTCTCTATCCCCTTTCTGTATTTAATCATAAGCTTATTTCCCTTCTCCTCAAAGTAGCTAATTCTTGACATTTTAGCTGAATTTCTCCTTTTAAATATGGAACTTTATTTCAAGGAAATCCTTGAAACAACCATGAAAGCAGGGGAAATGACCATCCAAGCTGTCATATGACATGCCACGCAACACAACATGGTTTTAGTTCAACAATATTTACTGCCTCTCTGCCAGGCATCAGGTAGGATGCTTCAGAAGACTGAGGTGGAGAGAGGGAATAAAAAATGAATGAAGCACTGATAACAGACATTTACTGAGCACTCTCTGTCAAGCTCTGTGCTGAGCTCTTCATATCTATTAGCTCCTTCCATCCTCTCAAAACCTTATGAGAAGGAACCTGTTGGTTCTCCTATATTACAGTAGAGAAAACTGAAGCTTAGAAGGTTAAATAACTTGACCAGGCTGAGCAGCTAGTTAGTGGGGAGGCTGTGTGATCCCACGGCACTAACCTGCATGGCCAAGCCCTTCATTCACGGTATCTTACTCTATCATCACAACTAACTTGCAAAGTAGGTTGTATTATCCATGTATCATACATGATGAAATCAATTGAGAAAAGATGAGTAACTTATATAATGTCACACACTTAACCAATGACAGAAAAATTTAAACCCAAACATCTGTCTCCAGAGCATTGTTTTTTCCACCAAACAAAATTACTATGGTCTCCAAAATCAAGGAGTTCTTAATTTACTAAGAGTACTAGGCCACATAAACAGCTATGATAATGTTATTTAGAAAAAAACGAGATGTGAAGGAGGAAAGGCCACCTCTGTTGAGGGGCAAAGAAATGTCTCCTCGGAAAGGAGGCGTTGAGATGGGTTGAAATGGATCTAAAAACATGGCCTGTCAAAAGTTCCACATCTCAGGACTAAGGATTTGCCTTATTCTACTTTAGGCTGAGTTGATGTATAGGGATGCTAGTTTTAATTTTCCTTGGTTGAGCCCTTTCTCCTGGTAGAAATTTTTAAGGACATCCAAATAGAAAAAGGAAATAGAAAAAATATGGAGTGAAAATGACTTTCCAAGAATATTAAGTGATAATTTTCATACCATAAAAAAGCAAAAGAAAAAAATTGATAGTAATAATGATAAAACAATAATAACCACTGTGAGCTGTGATGGCGTCTGTCACCAGACGCCTACTGCTAGTCAGCCTCATTATCAATAATGAGCCTCCCTCCTCTGTCCTGATTACTATCTTAAGATGGGGAAATGGCCTTTCAGGCAGCCAGGATGGGTTTCTGCAAATGGGTCACTAAGTATTGTAGAGAAAGACTGGGAAAGCCTCGTGGGATCCTCTTCTCACTGAGCTTGTTTTATCATCTCCCTGAAACAGCAGATCTGTGTTGAGTGCTTGCTTTGAACCAGGAATTCTACTGGGGCTGGGAGATATGATGGTTTTGGTGGAAATGAAGCAGAGGTGCTGTCACACCAGAAATAGCCTCCAAAACTCTGCTCACAGTGAGGTCCTCCTGCCCATTGCACCATGCAAACAAAGCTTACATAACTCTCATTTGAGCAATCAAGAATCTTGCTTCAAATTGCAGGTTTCACAACTGCATAGTTGATTTCTAGCCGCCTGCATTGCATTTGGTCTGACTGTCAGAGGCTGGAGAAGAAACCAGGTCAACTCCAAGAATTTGAGAAAACAATAATCATTTCTTGAGAACTCATTAAATGGGCCACGTCCTGAGATTTGAAGCCAAGTCTGTTGATGGAATAGAGGGAGGGTAAAAATTAGGAATGTCTTCACAGAGGAACTTTGAGATGAGGTTTTAAAGGATGAATAGGGAAGCGCAGGAAAGCAGGGGGAGGAATAATTCCTCTAAGCAGAGGGAAAACATGTTTAAAGGTGGAGCGGCATGAAACTGTACGATGAATTCATGAAACTATGGTAGTTTGGCCTGACTAAGCCCTGGTGAGTTCTATTACATTATTGCAGCACAGGGGAATTCCTGCAACCCCCTTGAAAAAGTCTGGAACATCTGAGATGCTCTTCGAGAGTCTATTTGCAAAAACATGCTATGGCCTCCTGGGAGAAATGTTGAAGCCAACCCCCAACCCTCCAGAGTGACTCAGGACTCCAAGACTATTAGAATTAAAATGCTGGTTTGTGGAGATTATGAAGTTTTCCCAGGTTTTGTGATGCTTCCTCAAGTGAGATCCTGGAACCCATCTTGGGCTCTACGACCCAAAAGTAATTGGCCTTACATGGGGATTCTGGATGATTGCTGGTGAGTTTTCCTGAGAATGGCGATCAGTTCTGCTGTTGATATGCTCTCCTCCTCAATCTCTGAAACGGAGAGAGATCCAGTCAACTGAGAAAGAGACCAAGTGTGGGATCTACCATGGATCAGAAGCCCTGCTGATGTTGCTCATGGGAACTTAAGAAAGCCCATTTCCAGGCCTTCTCTCTGTGCCATAGTCTCTGCTGCCATTATTCAAAAGAAAGTCAGAATCCTTGGATCTGCTCCTGATTAGGTGGGGGACTTATTTATAAATCTTTCCCGTGATCAGTGCTATTCTGGAGCCTGTGAAATGTGTTAATGTTGATGCTGCAATCCCTCAGTCTAGAACACCAGCCCCAGAGACACCACACAGGGAGTGGTGTCATGGCTGGTGATTACTCAATAATAATGAAAATAATCAATAATAACTAACATGTGGATATCATTTTACCTTTTAACAAATGCTTTTAATGCGTAATATTTCCTTTATTACCTGTAACATCAATTTCAGGTAGGTATCTCTAACAATATCTCCAGTTTACAAATCTAGCCTCAAAGAGATTAAGCAAATTACACACTGACATATAGTTAGTGAGGGACAAGGCAAAGATGCTGGGCTAGCTCTCTATGATTCCAAAGTCCGTTGGCTTTTTCAATGTGTTTGCTATTAAAGTCTTCTGATGTTTTGTAAAATAATACCCTTCAGTCCTAGGCCTGGTGCTGCTAAATTTCCCGTAGTTAGACTATCGTTTGCTCAAGTTCAACTGCTCATCTTAAGGTGGAAGAGATGCACACTGATATTTTTTTCTCAGCAACCATGTGCCATGCTACATGTGTGCTCAATATCGCTGAATACGCACAGCAACAACCCTGAAATGCCTCTGTCTCTGAGGGGGGCAATTGTGTTTTTCTTATCCATCATTGTATCTCCAGCAAAGTGTCTGACACTTGGAAAAAATCAGTATGTATTAATTGAATTGAGGTGAGCATCTTTATCTTCATTTCTTATTAAAGGAACCTGAGACTCAGAAGAACTAGGAAGCATACCTGAGATTACCAAGCTTGAGAGAGGTGGATATGAGCTCAGATGCAGGTTCCCTGTGGTCATGGCTCCCATTCTCCACTCTTCCTTTTTCCAGGAGCCAAGGCTGCCCAGCAATCTTTCCAGCTATAAACTTTTTCTTTCTCTGAACTGAAGAGAGCTGATGTGTTACCCAGCTTGCAGGTCAAAGGCGTGCGTGTGCACACATGTGCATGTGCTCATGTATGCATGTATGTACTTGTCTGTTTGGGATGGGGTGGGGTGGGCGGATTTATACATGATAAAGCAGTCTCTTCTAAATTTTATTTGTTTATTGTCAGGAGGTATCACATTCCTGAGAATCCGTTGCTAGGAACACTTCTAGAAGCCTGGTCATTTCCAGGTAACTCAATAAATCCTTTCATGCTCACTTGGATATTTATCTTAGAGTTAACTAAGACTATCTCCTTTATAATTCCAAGACATGCCCTTTCCCCACAAACTTGATAGCCCTTGAATGCCAAGCAAAGTTAATATCTTAGTGTATGTAAGCCTCAACTCTCAGAAATTGTCATGTAAAAAACACGGATTTTACCACGTTGACGGGTCTTTCATCCTTGGGGGTAGAGTGGGGGTGCCTGCTCCATCTCAGAGGCAGCAGACGTCTATGATTAACTATACAAAAATGCCAGTTTCATGATAAAAGCTGTACTTAGCATTGACTCCTCTGCTACAGCAGGAGTCTGGGGGATGCAGCTTATGAGAATTTTTTTTTAATGGAAGCTTTTGTTAACATCAGATATCTAATTAACTTAGGTTTTAAAGCTACAGAGGTGCTGCGTCCTCAAGAAAGATGGTTATCAAAATAGTTTCATCTAACGTAATTACCCTAAATCTACTATGGAAGAAAGAATTAAAATGTTTCTTTTTTAAGAAAAGCCAATGTATTGGATAACATGGAG
Source organism: Homo sapiens (assembly GCF_000001405.40). Taxonomy (NCBI): domain Eukaryota; kingdom Metazoa; phylum Chordata; class Mammalia; order Primates; family Hominidae; genus Homo; species Homo sapiens. The sequence goes on along the minus strand of NC_000009.12, from coordinate 107,987,037 downwards.
GCATTTTGTTGTGGGATCCCTGTCTATGCAGTTGAGGCTAGATCAACTTACTAACCAGCATAATTATCATATCCAGAGTCTGTCTCAGGAAATGCCTTCCAGAATGAGGGAAAACACAGCATCTGTGCCCACAAGGATGGTTTGGGCCCCCCGACGATGAAAGGCTCCAGCTGCTCTGCAGTTATAATCAAACTGGCTCTCCCCCAGCCTCCTCCGCCTCATCCTCCACACAGTAATAACAGAGTTGCTGGCTGCTCATCCCCAAAATGGTGTTTAGGACATCAAATGCTTCAACTACCACCTATGTGCATAATGACTCCCAAGTGTCTCCAAACCAGGTCTTCCGCCCCCACCCCGAGACTCCAAATCATGCTCTTCAGCTGCTTATCAGACATCTGGACCTCCTAGCAGACCCTCCAAGGCACTACCTCTAAAACCAAACTCGCCATCTTCCTCGCTTTGTCACCCACCACAATGGCCTCTTTTGCTTAGATTCCCTACCTTATCAGCCCCACCAACCTGCCAGTCACCCACGACCCTTATTTTTTAGTAGATTTTATATTTTAGAACAGTTTTTAATTTATAGAAAACAACTGAGAGGCTCTTACAGAGAGTTCCCATATACTCCATAATCAGTTTTCCAGTTAGTATCTTATATTACTATGGGACATGTGTTACAATGAATAAACCAGTATTAATACATTAGTATAAACTAAAGTCCATACTTTATTCAGATTTCCTTATATTTTACCTAATAGCCTTTTCTGTTCCAGATCCCATCTAGGATACCACATTACATTTAATCATTGTATCTCCTTGGCTGTGACAATTTCTTGGGCTTTTCTTATTTTTTGATGACCTTGACAGTTCAGAGGCGTACTGGTCAGGTGTATTCTAGAATACTCTTCCATTTGAATGTGCTGATATTTTCTCATGATTAAACAGGGGAGATAGGTTATTAGGAGGAAGACTGTAGAAGTTAGGTTTAGAGATTATTTTTAAGACATTGTTTGGACATTGGGCAGGATTGGTCACAGCCTTCATTTGACAGAGGAAGGGCTAATTACTAATTCTGATATCACCTTAGCATATATAGCACTGGGCATGAAATTGAGTCAGGGCTTGATGAATATTTGAAGCCTTGGTGTGTCTCCTTATCTGCAGAGTGGGGTAATAAAATTTACAGGAGTTTCAAGATGATTTAAATCAAAATATTAAAATCCTTGGTACAGGGCCTTGCACATAGTATAGTAAGCACTCAAATATTTCAGCTACTACCATTTTTGTCACCATGATTAGGATCTACATGTTATACAAGATATACTGGAAGGCTGGGGGCGGTGGCTCACGCCTGTAATCCCAGCACTTTGGGAGGCTGAGGTGGGTGGATCACCAGGTCAGGAGATCGAGACCACACTGAAACCCCGTCTCTACTAAAAATACAAAAAATTAGCTGGGCGCAGTGGCGGGCACCTGTAGTCCCAGCTACTCGGGAGGCTGAGGCAGGAGAATGGCGTGAACCCGGAAGGCGGAGCTTGCAGTGAGCCGAGACTGTGCCACTGCACTCCAGTCTGGGTGCCACAGCGAGACTCTGTCTCAAAAAAAAAAAAAAAAAAAAAAAAAAAGATATACTGGAAACCCAAAAATTTGACTTTGACCACTCCATATGTGAAGAAGTAAATTTAGTGATTAGATGGAAACAAGAGAGGCCAAGCTCAGCTTTACATTTTAAAGAACAGTCTCCTGTAAAATTAATGTTGCATTTAGTTCACTTTGGTAAGACTTCAAGGGCCATCAATTTTGTTCTTAACAATGATGCAGATCCAAAAGAAACATAAGACATGGCTCCTAGTCTCAAGACGTGATAAATTTACTGTCAGATAATAATACAGGACAGCATTTGATGAGGAGACAAGCAGAGGAGATGTGGGTGTGGGAAGTTCAGAACAGTGACTGTGTCCATGTGGGCTATATTGTTGCTAAGGTCTCGAGAGGTGGGCATTGAATGATGGATGGTCAGAGAGAAAGGTTAGAAAGTCATAAACAAGGATCTGGAAAGAATCAGTATACAGAAATCCACTGATCCAGTGCCTGAGAGAGTCCAACCTCCCTGGCATTAGGCTTTACGCAGACAACAGTAGGAGGTGGCATTGAACAAAACATCAAAATAGTGGGGTGGTTGTGGTCTGAAAGCTCCCCTCAAGAGTAATGGGGAGCCAGTTATATTTTTGAGCCAGGGAGTAAGAGGATGAAGGTGGAATTTTCAGGAGGTAGGTATGCTTGCAGCGGGCATGACTAGCTAGAGAGGGAAAAACTGGTGGCAGAAAGATCAACACGCTAGTTCATTCATTCACGTATACATTTATTGGTCATGTATACACAGGAAATATTATGGAGCTCCTATCAGACTCTGGGGCATATGGAGGCATATAATTATTGGTACCTGCCCTAAAGAAGCTCACAGACTAGAGGGAGAGAAATTAGGTTTCTGTTATCATCCAGAATAGATCACAGTGAAACCAGAAAGAAAAGGATGGAATAATATGTGTGTGTGAGAGAGAGAGAGAGAGAGATACATAGATAGATGATAGATAAGATAATAGACATAATATATATATCACAAAAAACAAATGTGTCCATATATATACACATAGGCTATGTATGTTATATATTATAATAATTAGGTTAGTATCTATTGTATACATACTATATGTATACATACTACATATATACATATTACATATATAATATATACATATTACATATATAATATATATACATATTACATATATAATATATACACATATTACATATACACATTTGTTTCTATAATAGAAATTTGAAGAACTAATTTTTAGAATCAACATAGGGAAGAAAGCAAACTGCTAGGAAAGGATAATCCCAAATTGTGAAACTGAATGAGCTGCATAAAGGTTGCCACTGACAAAAAGGGACTCCTGCAGGTTGGAGCTGATGAGGCAAGAAGATGAATGTGTTTGGAAGCAGTTGAATGTTATAAGAGATATTCATACAGTTTAATTATTATCATCTGGAAACACAGTGGGAGGGAGGGCTGGGCTCAAGGGACAGGCTTGGAAAGTATCATCATGCTACAGTAAGGGCGGAAGAGCACCAGGAGAAAAGAGTGGGCAGAGAAAACCAGAGCTAATCCACGAGTCCTCAGAAATCTCCACCCCATCATGGGTTCAGAGAAGAGAAAAAGCCAAGAGGTGGTATCGAGGAGAAAACAGAGAAGTTGGGGTCCAATAAGTAGGAGAACTTCATAGGAGGGAGGTCTAAGAAGGGATATCAATGATGTTGAATGCAACTGGCACAAGATAGCAAACCTACCCAGGAACTATGATACCCAACAGTAACAACAAGAACAATAAATGATTTAAATAATAGTAATAATAATCACATTTTTTAAACAGTTACTATGAGTCAGATCCTGGCGCTGTCCTAAGGCACTTAAGACATGTTTTCTCATTTTTCTTTGTGCCCAACCTAGCATAAGCCACATAGTAGTTCTCAATAAATGACTAATGTTCTAAGCCAAACTTGAGAGCCCTTAGGAATCTGGATGTTTTGATACTTTAGCTGGTGCTGGAATGGGTTGACAGAATAGTAATTTCTTTCCTCGGGTCATACTGTCTAGGTTAAATCATTGGTTTATTCCTGGCCAGTAAAATCCTGTCTGATAAGATTCCTTCCCTCCTATTCTGTATGAGAGTGCACTGTTTACCCATGTGGGGTTGGGTGGAGCCCAGAATATTCTTCAAGTCAACCTCTCTAGTAAACGGAACATCTGAGCAATAGCTTTGACCTTTGGGGAAGAAGCCATTCTTTTTCTAATGACTTATGAAGGAAAGGGTGTTCTGAACATGGGCTAGATTCAGACATAGGAGTATGGGGGGGCGGGGTGGGAGTTGCCTGTACACACAAGGAAAGTTGGCCAACAAACTTGTTCTTGCTTCTTTCCACGGCATCCTTGAAATTGCTTTACATTCATCTGAAGGCCAACCTCAAATTAGAAAAATGGGAGGAGATTGCTGCTGAGTGGCTTTCAGTTTAAGGAACTAAATCTCGATTCAAATGCAAGAGGAACATTGCACTAGGAGGAGACTGTCAGCATTTGAGAACCTTCAATTCAGACTAGGACTCACTGTCTCATTTGTTCAGTAAACCTCATGGAATGGCTTTCCACATTTATGAGTTTCCTACACAATAAATGCCCTTAGAGCCTTCAGACATACAATTGGTATACTGAAAGTTAAATAATACAAATAAGAAAAACAAATGAAGGTGTTTTTATTTAAAATTCAATTTTTTAAAGGAGGAGCAGAAATTCTGATGCTAAAATAAACCTTAACAATTTCTTTAAGCCAGGAACCCTACATCCTACTCATAGGGCCTGCTCCAACATAAAACAGGCTTCCAAGTCTCTCTAAGTCACAGTTCTCCTTGCTCTGATGTTCATCTGCATCTGTAAGGCAGAGAGCAACCACATAGGTATTTTTCAGAGTGGAAGATTTCATCAAAGGTCACTCATGCAGAGGAGGGACGAGTCAGGATTCAAGCCTGGTTTTGCATTTTTCCAAGTTCTTCTTATCCACCTGGTGGACTTCTGTAAGCTGACATTGGTCCCATGATCAATCAAAGGTCACGGGCAAAATCAGATTCCTTCAGAAACCATGAACCATTTTGGAAGTGAGATGTGGGGCAGTGGCTGGGGGAATAGAAGGGTTAAGCAATGAGGGTCAACACTAATGGGTACTTTGGTTAGGATGAGGGAAGTGACTAGTCCCTTAGAGCTGTTTTCCTTCTCACTTTCAAGGCCTGCTCTTTACCCTGAGTTTCCTATATGAACATCCTCTTGTACATGATATGTTGAAATCACATGTCTACCAAGTGTATGATTTGTTTCAAATTTTACTTTCTAAAAATGTGTCAGGACATGAGTGATATAAGAAAGGTGGTCAGGGGCCATGCCTGCAGAGGTTACAAGAGCAAGCTTGATGGGTGTGTTCTGCTCCAGCCCTTGGAAAATTTGACTCTCACAAACAGAAGAATATTTTAATACCGGCCGGAAGGAGGTGTGGAAGAAAATGCATGGATGAGGCTGGGAGCAATGGCTCATGCCTTCAGCACTTAACCCTGTCTCTACTAAAAATACGAAAAATTAGCTGGGCATGGTGGCAGGCGCCTGTAATCTCAGCTACTTGGGAGGCTGAGGCAGGAGAATCGCTTGAACCCGGGAGGCCGAGATTGCACCACTGTACTCCAGCCTGGGTGACAGAGAAAGACTCCATCTCAAAAAAAAAAAAAAAAGAAAAAAAGAAAAAGAAAGAAAAGAAAGGAAAGAAAAAGAAAAGAAAAGAAAATGCACAGATGAGCTGCTGCAGATGAGAAAGCATAGCAAGGAGAATAAAAACCTATGCGGTCAAAGTAGCTGAACAGCCCTCAGGAAGCTGCCTCCAGGGCCAGGGCTGTGAGGAGACTCTTGGAGTTTTGGCTACCTGGGCCTGGGGAGACTGTCTCAGCAGTAAGATATGTGCCTGGTTCGGCATGGGCCTAGCTTAATTTTAGTTATATATCTTCAGGCAAATCCTGAGTGAATGGTAGAATTGGAAGGGGGTCCCATCAGCAGCAGGTTCTCACAAATGGGAGTCCCAAGCCCTTTTTGCTTACTTGATAGTACTTTTGGATTTCCATAAACTTCTAGTATCACACATACACACACCCACACACGTGCAAATGCACACACACCAAATTTTCCTGAACCTCACCCCTCTCTAACATCAATACAAAACTTGAGAATGTCCCTCAAATGCATTGTCCTTAAAATAAAAGCAGAGTCATCAAAAATTTAACGAGATGGCTGGGAGGAAAAATTGGGCCACAACATAGTAATTCCATTTGGAAAAACTCAAAGATTTTTCAATTTAACTCAGATGTTTATGGAGCAACCAAGTAGGTCTTGGTATAGTAAAGCAGACAAGGTTTCTACCCTCAAGGAATCACAGCCAAATTGACAACCCCCAAGCCAATGTTTCTTTCAATGTAGCAGTTAGATCATCAGCGTGAGATTCATCTTGGAAGTTTACTAAAATACAGATTTCTTCGTTGCATCCTGACTTCCTGAATTAGAATTTCTGGGTTAGCAGGGCCCAGAGATCTGTGTTTTAAAAAGCCACCCCAGTGATTCTTATGCACCAGAAACTTTGAGGTCCTTTGCCTTACACTCATGACTAGCCATATTTTTATTTCCAGATCTCAACACAAATAACGTTCTAGTAGCCCACCTGCTGATGATGAGGAACAGATTAAGGGGCAAGTTTTGTCATCACTACACATTTCCTGGGCCTCTAACATGCAGGAAATTACAGCTGACTTCGCCTGAAATTGCAGAGCAAAAATACATTCAATCAAAAGCTCCTCTCAGCTCCCATACCACAGAAGCAACCCATAGAGGAAAAGACAGCAGTGTGACTTGAGGAGAGGACCAGAAATGGTCCCAGATTCACATGAAGACGTCTCTGTTGCAGATTGAACCCATCTCTTCTACCTCCCACAGCACTTCGTTTTGAAACAAGTATTTGGACTATGTGTGTTGAACTGAATGAGGATGCTTGCTCAGCGATGTTGAGTGACCTGTTCATGCTACAAGAATTTTAATCTAAGATATCTTAACTCCAAGTCCAAGGTTGTTAGAAGTTTCCAATTTTAGAAGAACTTTTCATGAGGCCCATATGCAAGGACGTAATATCTCAACTGGAGCAGAAGGATTTCAAGCCCTGTCACTGGGAAGAGCTGTGATGTGTTACAGGTCATCACCCAAGCCTTGGGTCACAGGCCTGACCCTGCTGGTTACTAACTAGGTGGCCTCAAGCATGTTACCATTGTCCACACAACTCCCCAAGCTAGACATCCAGGCATTGTCCTTGATACCTTTTTCTCTGTCACCCTCTACATGTAAGCCATTCTTGAATCTGAATATCTTCAAATTGGTAGATCTCTCTCTGCCTCCACTATCATCCTAGTCCTGAACTACTGAAAGAACTTTTAACTGATCACTGCCCTTCGATTTTTGCCATTCATCCCAATGCATTCTCCCCACAACAGCCTAAGTCATAGCATGTCACTCCTTTACTTAAAACCTTCAACAGTTTGCCACTTGTCTTAGGACAAAACAAAATCTCCTACTGCTGTCTACAATATCATACCTGGCTTAGGTCCAGTTTACCTATCCAGACTCATCCTCAGCCACTCTACACCTTGATTTCCAGGCTCCAGGCACATTGGTGTTTCTGTCTTTGCAAAACTCCATGCTCAGAAGCCTTCATATAGTTTGGTCCTTCCCAGGAGAGCACTTTTCACATACTAATTCACTCACTTAACTCCACTCATTCTTCAGATCTCAGTTCATTATCATTGCCCTCGGGAACCTTCCTCATCACTCGTGCCTCTTCCTCCCCACCACTACATCAGTTCCTCCTGCTACACGCTCTCATAACTCCCCACACTTACTGCAGTTTGCAATTATATATTGCATGGTGATTTCCTGTCTTATCCACTAGAGTGTGAACTACATTAGGGTGGAAACCACGTCATTTTTATCTACCACCATCTTACCTGCAGCATCTGAGCACAGATTCTGGGACAGAGTAAAAACAATAACAACAATGGTGCTATTGCTGCTGCTAGTGGCTATATTGAGTGCCCAGAATGTGTCAGTCAACAAGAGCCAAGTGACATCCCTGAGAGTTACAACATTCCATTGTAGACTTAAGGTCCATCTTAAAATTTCTTTTGAAGTATGTATTCTAGCTCATATGATGGACTGTTTTGTTTCACCTTGAAAATATATTATTTACTGTTTTTCCATGATGTTAAGTGGTGTAGATAGTCGTAGATTCTCCATACCTAACCAGCGATTTTGCCTACTCTCTCACCCAGGGGTACCCATGCCCTGTTTGAGATATAGAAGTAGAAAAAGTGACACAGAATTGGGTGTTTTGAGAAATTAAAATGGGAATTCTTATCCTGCCACTTACTAGCTGCGTGACCTTGAACAAGTATCTCGAGCTCTCTGATCCTTGGTTTCTTAACAGTAAGAGGGGACTCCTACATCTGATTTCCATTGTGAAGATCGAATGAGATAAAATACATAAAGTACATAACAGATTCTTAACAGATAGTAGCTTACTTTATCTGGAGTGAGGGAAGAAAGAAAAAGAGACGTATAGAGGAAGAGAAGGGGTGGCTGATGTATCAGGAACAACCTTGGCAGTTCAGTATTTTGAAGCTTGAGGAAGGTGGCATTCCAAGAATAAAATAACTTTGAACGTTATCAACTGGTTCAAAGAGTGTGGGGACAAAGGCATCTGAGAAACATCTGGAATGGCATTTCAGTTGTTTAGCTGTGACCTGGAAGAGCAGTGGGAGGAGCCTGATGATGATGATGGAGTCCAACTAACCTGCAGGTGGAGAGTGAATTGGAGGTGGGGGGAAACCTAGATCATTGGTAAGGAAGAAAAATGCCATGGTATGGCAAACAGCAAGGCTGGAGAAAGTCATGAGAATGAACTTACAACTGACTACGCAAAATTCAGAAAGATCTCGAAGAGCTAACGGCAATAGAACCTGAATGAAAAATCCATTCACAGGTCATTTTATTGGTTATACTCATGTGCCTTGCAGTTTTTTTTTTTTTAGTCAAACCTTAAGAGAATCATTATTGCAGATTTCTTACATTGTTGCGCACACACATACACACATGCACACTATGATTCTGTGGTCAATAAAAGTGTAACAAATGCTGTGTTTAAGTAGAATTGGACAGAACATGGTTTCTTTATTGTATTGTAAATCTCCAAAACAAAAATATGTGCCATATTCTAGAATTAGTATACAATGGAAATTTTTTGCCTCAAAATATTTCCTATAACTTGTGTTTGGAATACACTTTTAAACACTTCCAACTTAAGCAACTAGCTGCAATCATTTTAAGACATCTAGTGTACTGCAACAATTCTTCAGCATACTGAAATCCTCCAGCATCATAGCTCACATATTCACAAACATGGTAAGGTCCATAGAATCCTTAAGCTGGTAAAAGATCTCTTATGTCTAAAAACATCTACAACTCTCTACAAATGTGTTATTTTGGATAAAATTACAGTATACAACCAAGTTGATGACAGCGAAGTTTTGTTGTAATAACTATACTGATAGCAATTATATTTTTAATCATTGGGATCAAGAGTTGAAATAAGGTTAATATCAGGTCTTCCAGGTAGGTGCTTAGCGGAAAAAAAAACATAATTTTTTAAAACCCAGCAGGGAACATTGAGAACATATCACTTCCAGCTACTCATCTCATAAACGCCTAGATTTTGTCCTGAAAGACTTTGCCATGGAGAGCAATTTGGGATGCCAGTAAGCACCTGTGAAAATGTTCAGATGAGGAGAGGTAAGAGTAGTTGAAGGAAGGACAATTTCCATTTGCTACCAGGACAACAACTGAAGACATTTTGACCACAGCTGGCTCTCATTGGGTCTTCATTATAGAAGACAACTCTTTTGTAGAGTTGGAGTGGAATTCTTTTTATTTAGGATTTCTTTCTTATGCAAAATTTATTGTGATCGATTTATTTAAAATCAATGAATCTATTTAAAATTCAAAAGCCAAAACCTTCTTTCTACTGATTTTGAGTACTATGGGAAAAACTTAGGGGTCTTGTTCTTTCTGAAGGCAAGGACTTGCTACTGATCTTTTCTTTGATTATTCCCATTTATCAATTCTAGAGCATGGAAATTCCCATGCTCTCTTAAGTACTGTAGAGCTCATCTCCTCTAGCCAATCACAAGAGTGATAAAATGATAATAATCCACCAAACAAGTTAACACATTCTCTGTGACCTCAGCATGTTTTTAAAGCCTGTTTTGAAAGAACTCTGAGACAGGCAGGGCAGAAAGGCATTGACATCACTTCTGCACTTGGCTGAGGCACAGCCCTTAACAAGAGGACAGCAGCCTTTTCCTGTCAAAGCCTGAAGCCACAGCAGTGGTGAGGAGGCTATGTCAGAGTCCTGCCAACAGCTGGCTGGAGTCAAAGGGTGGGGCAGCTATACAGAGGCCAGGGCAACTGTGCTGACTTCCTTGGTGGCTGGGGAAGTGGCCTGTACCCGCCTTCAGCAAACACCCTGAGTTTACCCCAGGTGACTGCCCTCTCTCTCCTTCCACACACAGCATTAGACCACCAGGGGCACCTCTCTTACCCCTAGGAGACAGGGGCCACGAGGCCCCACGAGTCCTCAGCATCTCCTGCCTGGACCACTGCAAGAACTTTTTAAATAGTCTCCCTTTGACTTCTCTCTCCTTCTCCCATCCGCCTTTTATGTGACCTCTCTAAAGCAAACTTAGAATGTGTCATTCATTAGCTTAAATATCTCCAGTTGCTCCCCATTGCCAAGGGTGTAAAATTCATTCTTAATCTGCAATAGAAGAAACTTCTCATCATGGCCCCTGCATTTCTCTATAGTTTCACCCTGCATCTCTTCTTTACTACTCATGATGTGCCAGCCCCACCAAATCCCACAAGGTTTCCAAGACAATGATGCCCTTTTGCAACTCAGTGGCTCTGCTCAGCTGTTCTACCTTGGGTCTCCCTACAACATGTCCCTATGGGGAACACCATCTCAACCTGCAAGTACCAAGCTCAAAGATCATTTCCATAGTAAATTCTTCACTGAATCTCCCTCGCCACCAAGGACAGAGAGAATTATTCCTTCTTGTGTCCCCAAATCAATTCCTGCACGCCTGTAGGAGAGAGGCAGCAGAGCATCATGCTGAGGGAACATGCTCCCCAATACCCTATCAGGATGCAAAGCCCAGCTCTGCACATGCTCTCTTTGACCTTGTGCAAATTACCTAAACTATGACTCAGTTTCCTCAACTGCAGAATGAGGGGAAGAGTAGTATATACAACATAGAAATAAATGTGCCAAGTACTTTAAGTCCTCAGAAGAGTGCCCCATTGCTAAGTGCTCAGTAAGCACTGGCTATTATTATGACCACTAAAATGTTAATACTGTCACCATATGCTTAGATGTCTCTATCCTTGTCTACAGAAGAGGGTGAGATTTTATCTTGTTCATGTTTATATTCCTGGCGCCTAACTTCCACGTAATAGGCCCTCAATAAATGTTTATTGAATAAGTAGATTATTTTCTAGGCAGTAAAATATTCCCATAACTCTACAGGTTATATCTCTAGCAACTTTATTTCGTTTCTTTGCTCAGTGGGAAGGAAGTCATTACATAGATCCATAAAACGCTGTGTCCTGAACAGAGACTCTAGAAGTCAATTCATGAGTCCTTCATTGACGTGGGAGTTTGGCAGCCTGGTTCTGCCAGGGCTGTCTTTAAAAGAGTCACTTTCAATTCATGTGTTCAGTAAATACCCACTGAATGTTAATCATGTGCTGGGAATTGTTCTAGGAGCTGGGGAAAAGCATTGCACAAGACAGGAAAGATTCCTGTTCTCATGGACTTTGATGGGAGGAAAATAGTGCATTAAATAATAAGAAATGAAAGAAAAAATAAGTGTTAGATAATAGGTATTTGAATTAAAAGGAGGAAATATGCTACAAAGTGTCTGGGAAGGCAACATTTTGAAAAGGAAGTCAAGGAAAGTTTTTTTGGAGGCCAGCAGTAATATTTAGACTTGAGTTTGAGACCTAAGAGAAAAACATTCCAGGAAGAGGCAGCTTCTCTTACAAGAGCCTCATGTAAAACCAAGCTTGGGATGTTCCAGGAATCAGAAGAAAGCCTGTGTGCCTGGAGCTCGGGGAGTGAATGTAGGAGTCATTCCACGTGAGGTCAGTGAGGAAGGCAGGGGCTCCACAGGCCTGGGGAAGAATGGTGGTTTTATTATATATGCAACAGGTGGCTAAAAGGTTTTGAGCAGGAGAATAATATTATTTGATTTACATATTTAAAACCATAGGGAGAATGGATTATGAGGGAAGTGGAGACCAGAATACAAGCAATGAGACCTATTAAGAGGCTATTCATTGATGTAGGTGAAAACAGATGGCACAAGTTCAGATAGTGTCTGTAGACCAGGACCTGATGTATGTTTATGAACTAGAGTCCTGGTGCTGATGGGTTAAATGTAGGGGTGAGAGAAAGAAATTCTAACTTTTCGCCCATGCTGCAGGGGCAGTCCTGTGGGCAACATATTCAACACATAGGACTATTACTCCAGTTCATATGCTAGGCGACAGGGAAGGTCGTCAGTTACTGGGCAGGGACAGCTGGACAAGGTATAGATGGGGTTGGGGGAGGAGGGAGACCAAGATTTCCACCTTCAAAATGTCTAGTTTGAGACACTCAAGTGGAGAAGACATAAAGTTCATATACGAGTTTTGAGTCCAGTAAGAGGAGATCAGAAGTGTGATTATGCAAGTAGGAATCATTTGTATGAGGACAGAATTTAAAGCTATGAGAGTAGATGTGATTCCTAGGGGGAGCATATAGTTGAAGAAGAGAGAAAGTCTCAGTGCAGAGCCCTGGAAAGGCCAGCATTTGGAGCTGGAGTATTGGGGGCCAGGAAAAAGACCGAGAGGAATCAGACAGTACTGGAAGACAAACTCTAGGAGAGTACATTGTCATGGAAGCCAAGAGAAGAAAACAACTCAAGATGGAGGGAGTGATAAACTGGGATCAAATGCTGCCAAGAGGTCGAGTAGAAAAAGGGTTGACTTTGGCAACATGGAAGTCTTTGTTAAAGGGATTAGTTTCACTTTTCATCTCCTGGACCCAATTTGCCTTTAAAAAAAAAAAAAAAAAGGGTGATGGGGGGGGGAGGAATTCTTTTTAAATACTTTTATTAGGCAGACGTACTCTTTCCTTAAAATAAATCATTCAAAGAATCCCAAGATATAAAAGAGAACAAAATCAGAGTTTCTGTATGGAAACAGAAATCTCAAGAACTTACTTAGCCCCATTTTCTTGCCCCTAAGGTTGATTCTAAGGCAGCTTGGGGTAATTCTAGGACTGCCTTGAAGAGAAGACAAAAAACACTGGACTGGAAGCTCTGTAAAGGGCTCTCTAGCCAAGAGAATCTAAGTGGAAAGATGTGAGTAGTTCTTAGCCTGCTGAACAATAGGCCATCTTCTGGTTAGCAGCCTCCTTACATGTGGCTAGATTTTCTGTTGTGAAGAATACAGCATCTCTGCCTTATAGGTAGGAAAGCTTAGGAACTTCTGTAATCATGGTTCCTTCTGGTTTCAGAACTCAATTCCTTCCAGAGTAGGCCACTGGTTGCTTAGGGGTGCACCCATTCAACTGGTTTGCCCAGATCCTGTCACTCAGACACACCTCCAAGAAGTATCCAAAGCCCTTCCTTTGTTGCAAAATGATTCAGTGTCATTTCCATAAAATGTGGGGACCTGAGCAGGTGTTCACACACGCAACCTGTGTATATTAGGAGATGTAAAAGGAGACATTCTTTAAGGATCAAGCTTGCCATAATAAATTTCTGAGTGACTTAAAGGAGTCACCAAGCATATGACAGTTTGCATGGTCCATGTTCATTCAAAGGTGAGCTATATTGCTGCTCTGTCATAAATAATCACAAAAGGGATATTTGAGAGTGGTTAGTGGGAGAAGAGGAATAAAAGACAATGTGAGAGATCATTAGGAAGTACCCAATGAACTGATACAATACAATAAGATTCTTAATTCATGGGATGCCTACTTTGTGTGAGGCACTTTACTGGGCCTGGGAAAAGGTAGGTTAGATCCAAAAAGATAAACTCTCAGGGACATCCTTTTTGCTTATCTGAACGGAGTCGTCTTCCTTCAATCCGTTCTAAAACAGCTTAAAATCAAGCTATCCATTAGATTTTCAAGGTTTTCCCAAGAAGTACATTAAGTACATTTTTTCAGGTCCCCAAATATGAGACCAAGAGGGCCTACCTCACAATGGCCATCTGCACCTATGACATCTATGTGCACAGGCACTTTACAGTTTACAAAACTCTCATACACATTAAAAGGTGGAATGTTCCTTTAACTTTGGGTTTGTGGAGACTGTGTTTTCCTATCATTTTCTCATTTGCTGCTATTGTGACTCTTAGCTTTCTTAGGGCTATTTTATTGTTGTTTTTTGTCTCTCAGCTGCACATGGCCTGACAGGGAAATTAACTTATATGAGCAAGGTTACAGACCTCTTAACCTGAGTGTGCTTGTTTCCAAATCCTATGGTCCTAGCTACCATATCCCCAGGTCATACATGAAGCAAGAGCAGGGCTGAAATAGAACCCAGGTCTCCCTTACTAACCTCACAGCTGCGTAAAGCAGTCCCCTGACATCCTTTTGCTCTGTGTTTACATCTTGAGTTCGAGCCTAAAGTGTTGATGTTTGCATGCCCTCCCCCAGCCTTTTCTTTCATCTTTTACAAATTTTGTTGTCAAGATATTAGTCTTGGAAAGTATCTTGTTTGGCAAGTTTCCACGGCCACTGAGGATTCAACTTGAAGGGAAACACTTGGAAAACATTTTGGACGACTCCGGAATCGAGGGAAAGTCCATTCTAGCTAGATTTCACCCAGAAAAGCTTCCTTAAGCCTCAAGTTTTATGGGAGGCAGAGCAGGGGGCACGGAAGTAGTGCATAGAGCCCATGGGTAAAATGTGTATATTTGAGGTTACCTATGGTCGTTTGTAGCCTGAGATTAATGGGCCATGGATCCTAATGTGACAATGATAGAGATCACACCCAGATTTTCATCTTAATCCATGGAGCTGAGCAAACATCAAAAAGCTCAGCAGGTTGGTTTAGATCATTATGATAATAATTAATAACAGGCTTGTTGACAGAACTTCTATCTGCATGGCTTGCTGTTGTTTTTATGGAGAACACGGTTGCATGAAGGTAAAAACAACAACAATACTGGAACTGAATGAGTTTCCCCAAAGTAATCAATCTGTCCATGCTTGTACACCAACTCCAGTCCTGAGAACCCGTACGGCTTAACGTCCTTTTACTCCATGGATTCAAAAGCCAGTTTATCCATGTGCATGAATACATGGAGAATATTTCATAGAATAATGGATGGTATAGACTTCTAACACAGCATACACATTGTGTTAACACCATCAGTATCTGCTTTTCCCTCTAGTCTCTGAAAACTCAGAAGATACCACTAGTTGTGATTCACCTTTTCATTTGCAGCATTTAGTTCAACGTCTTAAACACAGTAGATGCTCAATAAATGTTTGCTGTATTGCTAAACTTCTGATAACATAACTATGAGGAAACTTCTGGCATAAGCCCTTCATTTTACAGAGAAGAAAACTGGAGTCCAGAGAGTGGATATGAATTATCCAAGGTCACTTAGCTAGTCACTAAGTCTAGAAGCATTGTTACTTGACTAACCTCTCACTGCTCTTTCCACACTATCAAAGCCTGGAAATGACAGGCCAATCAAAGATACCAGCCTCCCAGGAAATCTGCTATCAGAAAGGTCTGAATAATATGACCTGATGTAACCTTGTTGCCAAATCTCCAAGCCTCTCCCAGAGCCTCCCAAGGAAAAGTTCAACAGCACTGAGTTATTCCTGAGATGGAACTGTATTAGTCAGGCTTTAAACTGTTGAGCCAGGAGCAGCAAGAACATATTCTCCTTGTATTCTAACCCACTAAGAATTGAAATGGAGAGAAATAGAAATGAAATCTCATAGTTTCTTTTTAAACATTGCATACAAATAGAAGTATTTCCAAATAAGGATAGAGATTAGCATTGCTTATCACATTAGGAAGTAATGAGCAACTGCCAGTAATTATTGGTGCTACTCATTCAGTAACAAAAGGAAAGTCTCAGGTGGAAAATAAAAAAAAAGAATGTCTGGGCAATTACTTATTCATTCAAAGAGCTTAAGGAAAAACTCTTACCCTTCTAACACATTCAAAGTAAAAAGAGCTTCAATTGTTTCTAACCCCAAAGGGGCCGAGGAATACCAAGTTTTACCTTGGAAATCTGCAGCCTTGAGGACTGGCCAGATGGTCTGTCTCTCCGTCTCAGACCATTAGGCCTGTGCTGGGTTCTGATATGCTGGTCATTGACCCCAAACTTGGAATGCTTACTCTTGTAGACGGATGCATTTGTGTACAACAGTACACCTTCTCTCTAGCCTCTCTGTTGCAAGCTGTCAAGGGAAGAATACGGTGAAGCTAAATGGATTAGGAGAAGATCAGGCTCACGAACTTGGCCTTATTAGCCCCAGAGCATATTCAGCAGATGATGCACAACCATTCTCATTTCTGAAGGTTGCCATTTATCAGCACTGTGGATCCAGCCAGCTGGCATGACATGTATTCTTCGGGTTCTTGTGGAAGGAAAGCAGTAACACATACACCTACTATTCTTCCATTGCTGTGGTCTGCATCTCAACCAGGTCCATGATTGATTGATTTGATGAAAATAAAAGTTGATTAATTTTATAAAATATGTAAAATTTATTTGATAAAAAATACTGTAATTGTCCTCCTCCATTTTTATTATTATCAGAAGAAAAAGCAGCTTTTTATTGCATGATTCAGTCCTTGATCTATACTCTGGGTGACCTTGATTAGTTGTTTAACCTCCCTGAGCCTCCAGGTCTTCACCTTCAAAATGAAAATAGTAATTTAGCCACCACGAGTGTTGCTCAGAAAATTAGCTTTAAAATAATATTAAGCACACAGAACACCAAGAGGATGTAATAAATGTTTCTTTTCTTCTCCTCCTGAAATCTTTGGTTTCCTGTTCTTAAAAACAAACGAATCAAAAGTCCTGAAATAAATGGATTCAAGTGCGTGCCTTTCTTTTTAACATCTTAGCCAAAGCGAAGGATGATTCAATTATTAATGAAAGCCTGTGATTGTAAGCATGGCATATACATCAGTGAGGCAATCCATCGGCTAGCAATGATTGATCACCCCGCTCATATTAGAGGAAAACTTCCTTTGCTGCTAATGAGCCCCAGATCGAACTTGTGTTGTAAGATGCGGGTGCGTTCCTAAGGGCACCTGGGTCATTTTCTCTGTGTGTAAAAGGGTACGTATCCATTTGGTTGCTACCACACCCAGCAGGAGCACCTGTGTGCATGTGGGGAGAGGAGGCTGTGACCACGTGTGTGGTGTGTGTCAGGGTCTGAGTGTGTGACGTCTGTGTGATTGCCTCCATATTTTCATGTAGATTCCCCAAAACACAGTACTTGGATTCTGACCCTCTTTCTGGGAGGAGGGTTTGGAGATAGTCCTAATATGACCAACAAGGCTTATCTTATTACTGGCCCGTTTCCCTGAGCTTCTTCACAACCTCTGTCCACCTGCTTGCGTATATGTACATGTATAGGTATACATCATTTTAAAATCACAGTGAAGTATTCGTAACTTCCCGATGATATGTATGATCCTGATGATATGTAAGATATGATGATAAGTAGAGTTCTTTCACTCTGTCACACAGCAGAGGGACATGCTGGTCCCTCTGCTCAGAACACCCCACAGCCTTTCACACCTACTCATCTTTCTAGAATCAGTCAGGTGGTACCTCCCCTCGGAACCTTATCTGACTTCTCCGAGGTAAGTTGGGACACTCCTTTGTCGGCTCCTCCTGAACATTTTTTTATTACAGTACTTTCACATTGTAGGTTAATCACCTGCTTGTGAGCCCAACCTCCCAAACCAACGGTGAGTTTCTTGAAGACGTAGAATATGTTATATTTATTTATCTCAGCCTCTACCATTCTCAGCACAGCACCTGGCACACTAAAAATCTCAATATATATTGAATGAATGTATGAATGAGTAAATAAATGGGTTCAGGGCCAGGGCCAGGGCCTGACCTCAGTGCTGGGTTACAGCCAAAAAGAACTGAGAGTTTTATAAGGCAGGGTGGGATTTCACTTAGTAACCCCTACAGCATTAAAACTGCAGAAAGAAAACAGCTTCCTATGGCAGGTGCACTGACTTACATAACACTGTGATCATGGAATGGCTAATAAATCAGGTAATTTGTCCACTTTCCTGGAGTGAAGTTTTCAGCTTGGGCTCGTCTCAACTCGGAAAGCTGAGTGCGTGATGCTGCATGCCTCCTTCAATGGAGTTCAATTAAGCTTAATATCTTATGACTCAAGAGTTTGCACAGCAAGGCTTGGCACTTAATATTGTAATTACCCCCTTTTGATTAGAACTGCCTTTCATAAGCAAATCGACGCAGTGGTTTGACAAGCTTGAGGAATTGTTTTTGGAGCTCACCCTACAAGTTCCACAGGGAATTATAATCATGGTAATTACTATTGAAGTGAGATTCCAGTTCTCGATGTACTGGGAGGTAAGTGAATAAGAGTCACACGCTGCACCCTGTCCCATCGGAAAACAAGGAATGGAGGTGGAAGTAAACACGATATGATCACCAATTGGCCCACAGGCTGCGATGTTTCTCCTTTGCTAGGGCTCGGCCTCTGGGCGCTCAGTTCATTGAAAAGAATTCTTTTACTGCCAAGTGCTCTCCCCCTCCCTCCAACTGGACACACAGTTGGTGGTACCTACTCTTCTGGTCTCTGCTAGCTGTTGGCAATACATCGATAAGGCAGATGGGAATCCATAGGATGTCCTTTGAAGAACTCAGAAACTAATATTAGGGTAAATGTGGGAACCTAATCCTGTGAGAAGCAGGGTCTGTAATGACCCAGGACTGGACTTGGCTCAGAAGCTTTGGAGTCCCAATTTATAGATAAAACCGCTCCCTGAAGAATGAGTTCAGAGTGCCACTGGAGATGCTCAGAGTGTTCTGGGCTGGTTTGTAAAGGACAAATGCCTCACCAGGGACAAGCACCTAATTCCAAACCACAAAGGAGACTTGTAGCCACAAAGATATTTCACTTACAAATAAGCACTGCTGCCCTTCTGTTTCACGGTGGCATGGCTTCCCAGGGAGGCTGGAACAAGTTGCAAATGCCAAAGAGGACACTTTCCCCATGGGACTCAAGAGGGGGCTCCAGGAAATGATTGTTTCTTTTTTCTTAGAGAAATTGTTTATGTTGGGGGGGCCCTGCTCTCAGGAAACGTGATCTCTTGTGCCTAAACTCTGTAATTGTGGCTCCCTTCTGTCCACGCTTTAGAGTCCCTCCCCCACCCTTTGCTTTTTCCTCCATCATCCACAGCCTGAAAATTCATTTAAAATTAACAGCACAAGGAGAAAAATGCCACAAGACCCAGATTGCTAGCAGATGCTCTGGAGATGCTGGCCAGAGGAAAAGGCAAGTGGAATAGGCATTGTGCGGCCAGGGTTCCCATTGCTACTTTTTTGAAAGGCTTCACAGAAACAGGTGAGGGTCTTTAGAACACACCTTCAGCCACCTACTTCCTCACTCATTCTTTCAACAAACATCCTGTGAGTAATAGAATGTGCCAGGTCTGCCACTGGGTTCTGCAGCCGCAACAATAATAATAATAAACATTTATTGAGTGCTTGCTACATGCAAGACACTATTCTAAACATTTCCTATTTAATAACATGTTAACCCAGTTTTCATAACATCCCTAAATTAATCCTCAGATGAGGAAACAGTGACACAGAGAGGTATTTTGCCCAACATCACGAAGGTAGGAGGAAGAGGGTTTGGCATTTGATCCTAGGTAGCCTGATTCTACAGCCTAAGCTAGGGGTTGATGAACTTTTTCTGTTGAAAGCCAGATAATAAATATTTTGAGTTTCATGGCCCTGATTTTCTCTGTCACAATGACTCAAGTCTGCTGCTATAGCTCAAAAGCAGAGCCATTGATAATACATAAATGAATGGCACAGCTGGCTTCTAATAAAATGATATTTATGCACACTGCAATTTAATTGCATGACATTTTTGTTTCTTAAAATATTATTCTTCTGTTGATTTTTTTCCCAACCATTTAAAAATATAAAACCACTCCTACCTCATAGACCATGCAAAAGTAGTCATCAGGCTGGATCTGTTCCATAGACCATGGTTTGTCCATCCCTGGCCTAAGCTATGCTATCTCTCCATAAACGGACAAGGAAGCATTGTTATTCTGAAGACTCTTACAGCCTAGTGGAGGACACAGTGCAGTGGCAGAGACATGTGAACACGAACCCTTCTGAGAATCCTTTCACCCACATACGTTGGCTACTTTGCCTGAAATACTCCATCGCTCATTCTTACCCTCCTCCTGGCTAATTCCTAAGTGCCTTTCTAACTCCAGCTTAGCATCAGCCTCTTTCAGGAAGCTTTCCTTGACATCCACCCTCTGCCCAGCCCTCCTCTGTCCTCCCAGTAGCCTATTCTCTCCTCCATCATCACATCCTTGCAGGTCTCTAATTACGTGTCTGCTCCAGGAAGGCAGCCATGTCCTCCTGCTTCCCTGGGTCCTGACCTGGGCCCTGACACTGGTGGGCACACAACACATATTTATGACATTCACTTGTAGATGTTAAAGGTGAAGATGAAGGGTGAAGGGAGAAGGAAACTTTCAGACTTCAGGTTGAGTAAGAGAATACTCCAAGCCAATAAGATGGGAAAGAACAGTGTTCTGGGGATAAAATGAACTGGACATGACATGGCAAGAGGCAGGGACAGAGGAAACAGAATGAGCAGAGAACTCCTCGGGATTGGCAGAAATGCCCATGTCAAGAAAAGAAGCAGGGCCATGAATGGTGGCTCACGCCTGTAATCCCAGTGCTTTAAGACGCCAAGATGGGAGGACTGCTTGAGCCCAGGAGTTTGAGACCAGCCTGGGCAACAAAACGAAACCTCATCTTTACAAAAAATAAATGCCATTTGCTGGGCATGGTGGCACACATCTGTAGTCCCAGCTACTCGGGAGGCTGAGGTGGAAGAATGGCTGGAACCTAGGAGTTGGAGGGTGCAGCGAGCTATGATCATGCCACTGCACTCCAGCCTGGGCAACAGAGCAAGACTCTGTCAATAAATAAATAAATAAGACATGAGGTAGACAAGGTTCATATTGACAAGGGTCTGATGCCTGCAGAAAGTAGCATTAAGCATGAATGCAACAGGCTCAGATTTGTGCTTTAGAATAGAAGTCAGCCAATGAGACCCCATAGGTCAAATCCAGTCCAAGATCATACAGTTACAAAGGGATGGAGCTGGGGGTGGAACCCAAGGATGTGCACCCCATTCTATACTCTTTCGGTGTACTAAGCTGCTTCCCTAGTGTAGGGATCTGGCCCTGGATTGGGACTGGCTGGATGTATTTAGGGGCCCTTCCATCCTAGGCCCAGTTCCAGCTCACATGCCAATGAAGCTGACCTCGGAAGGAGTAAGGGACAGGTTGTGTGAGTCTCTCCAGCCTCGCTCCTAAATGCAGGGATGATGTGTAACTTGAGGCTCATGGCCACCTTGCCACTGTTCTCTGGCCATGTCCCTGCTTCTCCTGGGTCTGTGTCTTCACCTCTGCAATTAAGAATTCGATTAGATGCTCTTTAAGGGCCCTCATTAAGCTAGGATTCTAAACATTATAAGGATTCCACAGGCTATGTTAAAATACCATGGCTAGTATTTGAAAGTCCTAGAAGTGGAAGACAAGAAAGCTAATCTGGTGTGGATCTTCCTCTTCCATCCTAAATCCCTGGAGAGTTGCTCAAGATACAGAGGTGAGCGACTCACAGGGGATTTAGGATGGAAGAGGAAGATCCACACCAGATTAGCTCCAAGGGGAGGGAGCTTGTTAAGGGGATTTAAAGTCTACTATTTTAATAACCCTTTGTAGCTCTTTGGAGCCTCTGTTTTCTTGAAGCTCAAAGTATTTTGCAAACATTAGCTCTTTAATCCTGCAAGCAGCCTTGCGAAGTGAGTAGGTGTGAATATCTTATCCCCACTTGAGAACCATGGATTTGAGGAGAAAGGAGTTCCAAATGGTAATGACTGCAGGGTGGGAGACAGGTTCCAGGGGATGGACTAAGTTAACTTGTCATTTTTTTTCTCATCATTCTACCAGAGGAGCAGTGGATGGTGAGAAAAGCATGAGCTCTGGAGCCAGTCAAATCTGGAGACAAGGTCTAGCTTGGCTTTTCTATAGCTATGAGACGTTGAGTAAGTCCTTCAACTTCCGTGAAATTCAGCTTTCCCTTGGGAAAGGGGTTAATGATACCTACCGTATCACCAACTTACAGGATGAGAATATAAATGTAATATGCATGTTAAAGACATTTGAATATTGAAATTCTTAATAAACATATTTAAACATTTTTAAAATTAAAACTCATCAGACATTTGGCACAATAGTCTGTGGGATTTTGTGTTCTGGGAGTGAAGCTCAAGACCCTTACCTTAGATCAAGAGTTGGAAGGAGGGCACAGCTGGGGATGGCTTTCCAGATTCAGGAACTAAGTCCTGGAGACTACACTGGACTGAGCTTGCTAGAGAAACCAGCCAATTACCATGAGCAGAGTTGTCTTGAGATAAAGATTTTAAAAAGCAGCTCAAATCCCACTATTTGGGGAAGGTATTAGGACTATATTCTACCTGGGGATCTTGGAAGGCTTGAGCAGGAAACCAACATCGTCATATCAGCAGTGTGAAGATAGTTCTGGTTCAGCATAGAGAACCAATGAGAGCAATGGTCTTGCAACCCATGGACAAGATAATCTACTGTGGTATGGAAAGAAAAATCTCAAAACATCTACTTACATTTTCTCAATACCATTCTTTTAAAAATTATTTTCGTGTATATATCCTAAAGGCAAATAATATATTTTTGTAGTATATTTATCTACCTAATAAGTGAAATATATTACATATATATGTAAATATTGGGAGTGTGTATTCAAATTTGTTATTGGTTGGGACACATAATTCAAAGTTCAGAGACCACTCACCAGATTAGAAGGGAAGAAATTAAATACAGAATCCCATTCAAAAGTTCTTGCTCCTTCCATCATCTTTCCCCACTGCCACAATGGTGCATATGAATGTCCTGGCCGAGCTCTCAAGATCACCAACAATGCTGAAAAGAGAGGCAAATGCCAGGTTCTTACTAGGCGGTGTTCCTAATTGGGAAATTTGAAATCACTGATGATCACAGAGCTGGGTGAATTGTAAACCTCTCAGGGAGGTAATACAAGTGTGGAGTGATCAGCCCCAGATTTGATGTGCAACTCACAGATCTAGAAAAATGCCAGAATAATCTGCTCCCATCCCACCTGTTTGGTTTCATAGTACTAACAATCTCAGCTGGGATCATGGACCACGAAGAAGCAAGACAAAAACACACAGGAGGGAAAATCCTGGGATTCTTTTTCCTGGGATGTAATATATATTTACAAATAAAATGCCTCAATGGAAAAAAAAAAAAAAGTTCTCCAAGGCATCTGAGAGAGCTAATGCAGGCCTCGATGGAACAGTGGTTTGTGTGGGAATAAGGAAGGAACAATATAAAGAACCTGAGAAAAGGAGAAGAAAGGGCTGAAATTGGTCATTTTTGGACATGAAGAGCAAGTGACTACAGAAGAAAGAAGTACAAACCTGACCGTGAAGTTTCAATCCTTGGCCAAGAGAAGACTGTGAAATTCAGCTTTCAAGTTTCCCTGACACCAAGGAAAATGAGGAAGGTCAGAGAGGATACTGGTTCAAAGAAAAGATTATGAAATCCCCTTTGGCCAAGTAGGATTTTGGGTAAAGACAAGAGAGACTAAGGAGTTGGAGATATAAGGCTGGGGCTTGGAAGAGATGTCTGGCTAAAGGTGGAGGAGCTAGATGCCTCCTACGGAGAGGAATCCCGGATAGAAAGAGGCGGCACAGCAGGAACCAGCTAAATGGGAAGAGGTGTTCTTATCCCTAACCAATATTCAATCTTAAGAGATCCCCCTGTCAGAGTGGTTCCTGAGGTCAGCTGCCATTTTGTGTGGTCTTTGGCGTCTGGCTAATAGTTTATTTCTACAAGTTAATGAACTCAGAGAATATCAGAATTTGAACGGCTCTTTAGAGACTATCTAGTTTATGGTTGACTTGGTTTAAGTGACTTTTTAACATCAGAGTCTTCATATATCCGTATGTGTCAGTTAGGGTTCTTAGCTGCAAACACAATTCATTCTTTCTAGTTTATGGTTGGCTTGGTTTAAGTGACTTTTTAACATCACAGTCTTCATATATCCGTATGTGTCAGTTAGGGTTCTTAGCTGCAAACACAATTCATTCTGGCTAATCTAAGCAGAAAATGGGGTTACCAAAAGTTAAGTAAAAGGATATCAGAGAATCCTTAAGAAGGCTAGAAAACAGATTCAAGGCTGTGCCCACAAAACAAAAATTTTCTTTCTGTTGTTACTCAGCAATAGAAAAAAATGAAGTATGATCCATGCTACAACATTGGTGAACCTTGAAAATATCATCCTAAATGAAAGAAGCCAGTCATGAAGGACCGCATACTGTATGATCTTATTTATATGAGATGTCCAAAATAGGCAAATAGGCAGAAAGATGATTCATAGTTACCTAGAGCTGGAGAGGAGAGTGGATAGAAAGCTGGGAGTTGGCAGCTACAGTATGAGATTTCTCTGGGAAGTAATAAAAATATTCTAAAATCCACTGTAATGATGAATATGCAACTCTGTCAATAGACTACAAAAAATTAGATTGTATCCTTGAAGTGGATTTATTGTATGGAATGCAAATGCATATCAATAAAGTTCTTTTTTTAAAAAAAAGAAAAACACACAATGAAAGGCTGTTGAAAAGGGGGTCATGACTGTCACTGCTACCAGTATCAAACAGAAAATGCTAAGAATTTAGCTTTAATGCAACCTCCACGATCACATCCCTGATGCCGGCTCTGCCTCAAAGACACTCAGCTGGGCAACCACCGGTACCCAAGAAAACCTCACATCTCTGCCACCACTTATGTAAGCACATGGGGTGTCTGAGACTATCTGATTTTCTCAAAATTCTCACTTTCAGTTTTTGTCCTGTGTGGACACATCCCACTGATGAAACCTAGAACGCACTGTGTGAATTAACCATAAAAGACTCTGAAAATTTTAGTTCGTATCACTGCACTTGGAATCAGGAGGATGTCTCAGGAGAAAGGCAACCATAGATACACAAACATCTAGTAGTAGAATATATTAGAGAACTTCAAAATAAAACTTAGTAGAACTTGATAGTTTTAACAGCCCCTCTAAGATGATTTTTTTTTTAACTCTAGAATTAAAAATGCAGCCAAGTAGAGCATGAGAAGAGGCTTCAGAGCCCACCAAACCTGGCTTTGAATTCCAGGGCTCCCAGCTATTTGATCTACATAGGTCACTTAATGTCACTGAGTCTCACCTGGAAAATGACAGCACCAAAGTCTACTTCGGATGATTATTTCCACCACTGAGATAATGAATGTTAAACAAATCTTGGTTTCTGCCAAGAGAAAAAAAACAATCTTATTGTATTTTTTCTGTTGATTTTTATCAGACTCAACTGTTTTCCTGATTTTCATGTTTTCATAATTTTTAAAAGATATGTTATTGATTTATTTTATTCCTACATTGAGCTTTTTCTTAATAGGTGCCCTCTTGTTTCTTGTAAGAGTTCTATAAGCTCAATTGTATAAAAATCACACAGAAAAAATGCAGGAAGTAAAACACTCCAAAATGTCACTATGATTGTCTCTGGTGTGTGAAAGTATGAACAACTCTTTTTTATTTCTTTCTGCTTTTATTACTTTCCATTTTCTTTTGTTCTTTCACAATAGTGAGCATGTACTACTTCTAAAATTAGCTACAAATAATCAAACAAAGAATAAAGCGAAGTTGAAAGCTCCAAGAGATTAGCATATAAAAGAAAAACTAACAGCAACTTCTCCATTAAGTAGCCACTGATGTGCAGAAGTGAGCTTTAATTAGTAGCCTATAACATCATGTGATGGACTAGCTCCAGTCTGATGCTAGACATCTTCTGATCGACTCATGCTGTCATGGCATTCCAGATACTACTCTGTTCAGAAACTAGGGGAACTCTTCACACATTTTCCAGGAGCTTTTAGGATTTAGCAAACTTTCAAGACTTTGTCTCTTAACACCTGGGGTCCAAGTCCCATGTTACTCATGGGTTATTTAGAGCAGGATGATAACTCTAATCCCCTGTATTCTTAGCACTCTCCTTCTCCCTTGTCAAATCTGACCCTCAGGGAACTCCTTTACCATAGACTGTAAATAACCAATCAATGTCTCCCATGCTAGATCCTTCAGGGATCCCCATGAACAGTGATACAACTCTCCTGATTCCAAGTACTGTGCCTTTTTTTTTTTTTTTTCTTTTTTTGAGATGGAGATCTTGCCCTCTCACCCAGGCTGGAGTGCAATGGCGTGATCTCGGCTCACTGGAACCTCTGCCTCCCAGGTTCAAGTGATTTTCCTACCTCAGCCTCCCGGGTACCTGGAATTACAGGTGCCCACCACCACACCCAGCTAATTTTTTGTATCTTTAGTAGAGACGGGGTTTCACCATGTTGGTCAGGCTGGTCTCAAACTCCTGACCTCATGATTTGCCCACCTCAGCATCCCAAAGTGCTGGGATTACAGGTGTGAGCTACCGCGCCTGGTCGTTTTGTGCCTTTTTGATGCACAGTCCTTTCTTAGTTTCTGATGGCCTCATTAGCAGATCTTCTTATGAATAATCATAAGAATATTTGATATTTAAGAATATTTAAGTAAGAATATGTAATAATCATGATGACCTTGATATTTGGGTAGTATTTGATGGTGCAAGGACCAGGATATGGAAGACTAAAGTTTTAGGAGCCAAAGTTATCTAAGTAGCCATAAAGGTCAAAACACTATACCACAATGTCATGGGGTAACTTCCCATGTTTCTATCTGACTTACACACAACTTCTCAGAAATACGTCTTGCTGTATTTGACCATGTCCTTGACCTTCTTGCTGTCTTCTCTTGACTCTATTTCCTTTAAGATTCACACTCCTTAGCATGTCAATGAAGTCCTTTCATGTCTGCTTCTCTTGCTCTATTTCCTGCTTCCTCTCAGTCTCATTTGTCTTCTCCTTCAACCACATCAACATTTTGGCCTTTGTCAGGTACACATACTCTTATCTCTCTACCTATGGCCACAGCTCCCTGTGCGTAAAATGCTTTTTCCTTCTTCTTCACACTCTGACTCACTCAATTCCAACTATTCTGGAAGACTTCCTGACTCCTCCAGAGACAGGCAGAGGCTCTCCTGTTTGTAACAAAAGCACAGAGGCTTCATTCAATAGTCAATCCACAGACATCTGTCTAGGGCCCTAGTGTAAATTCTGCACTGTGCTTCCATGATCCCTTGCGTATTTGTCTATTACAACAAGTGACACACTGGGTATTGTGTGTTTACCTGTCTTCCAGATACAGCCTGGTGACAGGCAGCCATGTGGAATGTTTGGTTAAGACAATGACACTGTTTCCTCTCTTCTCCAGATGCACCCAGCTAGTTACCCATGCCCTCTGTCTCTAAGTACAGCCCAGGACATGGAGAGCATGCTACCTCAGATCCAGCCTCACAGAGCCCTGGGGAAAGCCACACACCCCCATGCCCATCACCCATCACCCATCAGTCTTTCCCACATCCCTTGTGTGTTAGTGCAAACCATATGATTGGGTTTCTATCTCAGTTTCTCTATCAAGCACACTGCTTCCCTACTGCCACTGGACTCTAACTTGCCAGGTAGATCTTTCCAATTCACTTGCTCATGCCAGACTCTCACTGCAGCAAGAGAGCAGAAGTGAGCTTTTGTCTTGTTCCAGGTAGACCAAGGGGTGGCTGGGGTTCCGCTTGCCACATGTTGGGGATTAGGGGCCTCCCAAGTAATGTTGTAATTGCCTGCTCCAAGGGCTCTTTTGACTGTGCACTCAATGAAGCATCACACTGGAGCATGCTCATCTATCCTTCTCCACCCTGAACTGGGTGTTTCTCCAAAAGTAGCATGCCTCTTTGGACCACAGACTCTTAGGTATTTCTTCTGCCTAGGAAGGTTTACTGTCCCCTGGCTTCTATCCTGCCCAAGAAGCTTCCTTGCCCACAGCAACTTCACTAAACAAGTACAAATAAAAAGATTAAAGCTGAAGATTTTTTTTTTTTTTTTGAGACAGGGTCTCACTGTGTTGCTCTGGCCAGAGTGAAGTAGCTTCATAGACGCAACTGTAGCTCATTACAGCCTCAAACTCCTGGACTCAAGTGATTCTTCCACCTCAGCCTCCTGAGTAGCTGGGACTACAGGCACATGGCACCATGCCCAGCTCAAATTGAATATCTGTCATGTTCCAGGGAGAAGCCAAGATGACAGGAAAAGAGGGTGATTAAAATAGTCCCAGAGAAAGACTTCTATGGAGTTTATCTGAAGGAAAGGGGAGCATAAGAGGGGAGGAAGATGTAATTGGTATGAAAAGTTTAAGAGAGCAAAAATGTCAAGGTCTTTTCATGTTTAAATCTGTAAAAGGATTGTCCACACTAGTAAAGCATTTTATGAAAGATAATTATAGTATCTAATATTTATTGAGCACTTAGGATGTGCCAGGAATTCTGTTTAAGATAATTTTCTTATTTAATCCTTACAGCAGCGTTATGAAACAGGTTCTGTTTGTAACCCATCTTTTTAGAAGAAGAAATGGCTTAGAAAAATGAAGATGTGACCAGGCATGGTGGCTCACACCTGTAATCCTAGCACTCTGGGAGGCCGAGGCTAGTGGATCACTTGAGCCCAGGAGTTAGAGACCAGCCTGGGCAACATGACAAAACTCTGTCTCTACCAAAAAATACAAAAACTGAGGTGAGAGGGTCACCTGAGCCTGGGGTAATCGCACCACTGCAATCCAGCCTGGGTGACAGAGTGACATCCCGTCTCAAAAAATAAAAATAAAAATTAGAAAATATCTTCAGGTTAAAAAAAAGAAAAAAAGAAAAATTAAGATGTTGCCTTGCAATTAGTCATCAAAAAGCATAAATTCCAACTATCCATACTGACTTAAGAAAGAATTTTCTAAAGTAATGTTGAGTGAGAAAAGCCAGATTCAGATAAGTACATAAAATATGATCCCACATTAGATTATGAACTTAATAAACCTCTTATCTGTATGTATGTGTATATATTTAAGTACATAGTATACAGAGTAACATGCATACTAGGATTGTATTCAGAAAAGATTGAACCTTATGTATGTTCCTTTTATTTGATTATGCATGAATGAGATAGGAGAAAGTGATGGAAGGATCCACACTAATCTGTTGACTTCACTAGCTGGGAGACCAGAGACAGAATAGGGTAGGAAAAGAGAGCTTTGGGGTTATATACATTTGCATTCATTGGTCTTCTTATGACAAGCATATATTGGCTTCTAAATTTGAAACCACCCAATGAAATGGATGATTTATAATAAATACATATTTTTCCCAAAGTTACACGTTTTTCAGTTTGAACAGTAAAGAATGATCTATGCTCTGGTGATTCCCCTTCACCCAGAACTGCCCAAGATGGTTTGGAAATTCATAAAGCACCTTCAGAGTCCATTCACATCTGACATATTCTCAGCTTCACTGGCACATAAGGCCATTTATATTTTAATTTTAACTTTTTAGAGTTTATGTCTAAGGCCACACAACAGACACTAAGAGAGAAGACTAAATTGTGGCCCAGAGCTTTGGACTACAAATCTAGTGGTCTTGTGTTAACAGTGTAAAATTGTGTAATATAGAAACACCTTTTAAAATATCAATTTTTGGCCGGGTGCAGTGGCTCACACCCGTAATCCCAGCACTTTGGGAGGCAGAGGCGGGAGGATCACGAGGTCAGGAGATCGAGACCATCCTGGCCAACATGGTGAAACCTCGTCTCTACTAAAATAAAAAAAAAAAATTAGCCAGGTGTGGTGGTGCACGCCTGTAGTCCCAGCTACTCAGCAGGCTGAGGCAGGGGAATCCCTTGAACCCGGGAGGCGGAGGGTGCAGTGAGCTGAGATTGTGCCACTGCACTCCAGCCTGGCAACAGAGCAGAACTCCATCTCAAAAAATAAACAAACAAACAAACAAACAAATTTTTAAAATGGTAGCTGCACATGATGGCTCACACTTGTAATCCCAGCATTTTGGGAGGCCAAGGCGGGTGGATCACCTGAGGTCAGGAATTCAAGACCAGCCTGGCCAACATGGTGAAACCCTGTCTCTACTAAAAATACAAAAATTAGCTGGGTGTGGTGGCGAGTGCCTGTAATCCCAGCTACTCAGGAGGCTGAGTCAGGTGAATCACTTGAACCCAGTAGCAGAGGTTGCAGTGAGCCGAGATCACACCACTGCACTCCAACCTAGGCAACAGAGAGATTCCATCTCAATCAATCAATAAATAAATAAAAATAAAAAATAAAATAAAATGGTGCATGAATCAATCTAGTTAGCCCACTGAAAAGTTTTAGTTATATAAAATCTTAAGACATATCATTAGTAAAATTAACCCTTAATTTCCTCTTTGGCTATCACTAAGGCAAGATGTCATTAGTTACCCGGGTAGTGGATCCTTAATCACAGCCTCACACATACTCATTCACCAAACACTTGTTGAGCATCTAACATATGCCCAGCACTCAGTTAGGTGCTGGGTCAGCCTTATAAACTAAACAAACAAACTTCCCTCAGGCATTTGGCCAAGAGCTGTTAATACATGCCTCCAACATTTGTCCTTTTAAAATTAAAAAGGCTATTTAATTAAACATGAATGTTTAGTAACCATAAAAGACTTTTTAATTTCAGAATCATGAATCAGAAAATGCTGAAAAGAAACATGAGTTACAGAAACACAGACTATAAATGAGGGATGGTGACTAGAACTAGCATTTTGGAGTCCTCCTATGTGTGAGATACTTTATAGGTATTATTGTAATAAGTGCTACTGATAACCCTATATGGAAGAGATTATTAGTATTCAGCTTACGCTGGGGGGACTGTACTTTAGTGGGATGCAAAAGAGTTTTCCCAAGATCATAGAGGAACATTCGGAGCCAAGAGTTGATTGAGTATAGACTCATCAAACTATGGAAATCACGGATTGATTTTACTACTTGTCCCTGTTTGCAAAGAAGACTATTTATCTAAATGGCACATCAAGTGTACATGGCCAAGGTGAAATGGTGGTTGAGCATGTCTATCATCTGGGCCATGCATACCAAGTGAAGAAAAAGCAAGGGGGCCCCTTAGCCAGTGATCTACGGCACTTGCTGTAGATCATTTCCAACTAACTGGCTAAGTGACCTGCTTGCTTCTTCTTTACTTGTCTTCCTACAGCCTCCTGCAATGCAACAACTACAGGAGCTTCTTCACATTTAAGTCCTATCAGTTTCCTCCTCTGCTCAAAATGCTCGAGTGGCTTTCAATTTTATTGAGAATGTACACGACTTTATAGCGTCCTACGGGTTCTACATATGCTGCCCCCACCTCCTTGACCGCAGGTCCTACTGCTGTTCCTCTTACTCCTGACTGTGACCCTTTCATTGCATGAACTTGGGTGTCCTAAATGGCACATTTTTAAATTTTTAATTAAATTTTGTAATATATAATTACACATTCATATGCAGTTATAAACCTCCCTGCAGTTCCACAAACACGCCAGGCCTGCTCCAGCCCCGAGGCTTTGTGCTGGCTAGTCCCTCTGGCTAGAAGCTGTCCCCCAGGTATCCAAGTGGCTCACCTCCTTACCAACTTCAAGTCTTTGCTCCAATGTCATCTTCTCAGCAAGGTCCCCCCTGACCACTAAATTTAACCCCACTTACCCCCACTTAGCACTGGGTATCCCCGACTGCCATAATTTTCTCCAGGATCATGTGTCACCTCTGAATCTATTCACTGACATATTTCCATCACTGACAGAAGTGTCTGGCCCATAGCACACAGTCAATAAACACTTGCTAAATTGACGAATAAACCCTCTCCTCAACCCCATAAGAATGACCATTATTATTCCCATTTTAAAGCTTCAGAAGATCCAACTTCTATGTGCAAAGCCAACAACCAGAGAGTGACAGCTAGCACTCAAAACCACGGTGTTCCCTCATGGAGGAAGAGAGGAAAGAGGAGGAAGGAGGGGATATCTCTCTCATATTGGACTCTTTGTTCCACTGTCCCCACTAGCAACTCCAACCAGTGGGGCATTTGTCTTCTGCAGTGACATCAGGTAAATGGGTGGAGACATCCTCTGTCACTGCTTTTGGTCTCTAGGAGCCCAAGCTGGGAAACACAATGCAATCTGTTTTTATGAAAAGAAAGAAAAAAGAAGTGCTAATGATACATGAGAATAATATAGGGATGAGCCCAGAAATCGGAGTGTTTTGAGTCTTTCACGTGAAATGTTCCTTATATGTACTTAATGCCAATACAAAAATTAACACGTGTCATGAGAGAGGATCAGCTCTACCGGAAAAGTTCCTGATTGCCCAACACAAAGTGGCTATGGTTGGGACAGTCAAACTTCCCTGTCACCCTCTGACATCAAACACTTGCCTGGACAGTGAGTACTGAGCACTGACCACTCTAAGCTAAAAATCAGCACAGACTCCAGAGGTCATGCATGTGCTTGTCTGTTTACTGATTTATTTTTAAGCATGATTGTGTGTCTTCTCTTTTCTAGGCCCTGTACTAGGTCCTAAGAATACGGTATCGAAGCAGATTACTGCTTTCAGGAAATTGATGTTATAAAGGGAGACAGACACATAGATAATCGCAATGAAGACCAGATGAGCTTGGCTTGAGAAAGAGAGGGGAGTAAACAGCTGATGCATCCCAGCTCTAGAAGGTTTCTGAAGATGATATTTAATTTAGCAAGGTTCCCTTACCCTTAGGAGGACATGGGTTGGAAGGTCTTAAGAACTGCTACATTCATCTCCGAGGCTGAAACCTTTAAGAAGGGTATAAGGAGGCTCCTGCACTGCAGGTACCTCAAATGGATCTTTGAGAAGCAAGTGGTCTACAGGTACCTGTTGTGAACCAGGGGTTAATGATTAACTAGAGCCAAAGTGTCCACTCTGCCCTATCCTAAGCTCAAAGAATCCCTAACAACATTCGTATTTATTGGACTATGGACTAAGCCCTATGCTAGTTACTTTTCATTTATCACCTAATTTAATTGTTACAACCACTATTTCACAAATGAAGGAACCGAGGCTCATAGAAATGAAAGGCTTTATGCAAAAGCCTCAAAGCTAAAGACGAGATAAGAGTCCAGGATTTAGATCTCAAATCTAGTGCTCTTTGCTCAATACAAAGTCCTTCCTCCTCCCACTTAATGCTGACATTGCTCATAGACCTGCTCTTATTCTTAGCTCTGAAATAAATGTACTGGAGAACTTGGAGCAACACTTGCTGCTATGGGCTAAAAAGAAGACAGAATTTTGTGATTGGAGTGACTCAGGTTCAAATTCCAGCTCTCTTTAACTCCCACTTGCAACCTCAGAGAAGTTTTACTTCCCTAAAACCTGAGATTTTCCTTCTGGAAAACTGACATCTCTGTATTGTGAGGCTCCAGTGGAATAAAGTCTCTGTTATTTCTACGCTTAGTGGGCAGTCAACGTAAGTGAGCAGTGCCTTTCTCCTGGAGAACTTTATGCTAACTTGCTTCTCCAATGGGTCCCTTTTGGGAGACAAATGAAGATAGACAATGACCATATCCCAAACAGTTGTCATCACATCATTCTTTAGTTGGCTTTTGTTGTTGTTTTGGTAATAAATAGGGAAATCAAGCACTATTTTGAAGCTATTATCCTTGAAAACAAACTACAAACTTATTGTTAGAACATTCCTCACAATTTTCCCAGATATCTTGCTAATGGTCATGATAAACCCAAAAGGGACTGTAGACTGCTGCCCAATCCTGCCTGCAAATTAGGCTGATTTCTTTATTTCTTAACAGTTTGTCAGCCATCAGTTGCAAGCCATCCACTGCCATAGGTGCTTGCTTCTGAGTAATTACTAAGGGAATGTGATGATTTCCGGCATGAGAAGTATAGTGTGAGTCCCACTGTAATTACTATGGAATCCATGGGGTATAATTACCCAACTGGCTGCACAAGTGGCATCTGCTGGCACTGCCAGATCATTCTGTCTACTTGCTATGAAGCAGCAGTAGTCAAGCCTTTTTACTGCATAAACTTGAGTAGCCTGTGTTTTTTTTTAATTCAACTTTTTTTGAGATAATTGTAGATTCACATGTAATTGTGAGAAATAATACAGGTACATCCAATGTACCTTTTCAGGAGTTCCTCCCAATGGTAACATCTTGCAAAACTATAGTACAGTATCACAACTAGGATACTGACATTGATACAGTCAAGATACAGAACATTTCCAACATGACAAGGATCCTTCATGATGCCCTTTTGTAGCCATACCCATTTCCTTCTTGCCCCCAACCCCCATGCTCTGCCAACTACTAATCTGCTCTCCCTTTCCACAATTTTGTCATTTCAAGAATGTTAAATAAATAGAATAAACAGCATGTAAACTTTAGGGGTTGTCTTTTCCACTCAGCGTGATTCTCTGGAGATTCACCTACATTGCTGGATGTATTTGTATTTCCTTCATTTTTGTTGTTATAATCCTACAGTTCTCTGGTTTTGGGTGATTTATTTTATTTATTTATTTATTTATTTATTTATTTATTATTATTTTTTTGACGAAGTCTTGCTCTGTTGCCCAGGCTGGAGTGCAGTGGCACGATCTCGGCTCACTGTAACTTCTGCCTCCCAGGTTCAAGCCACTCTCCTGCCTCAGCATTCTGAGTAGTTGGGGACTACAGGCATGCACCACCACGCCCAGCTAATTTTTGTATTTTTAGTAGAGATGGGGTTTCGCCATGTTGACCAGGCTGGTCTTGAACTCCTGACCTCAGGTGATCCACCCACCTCAGCCTCCCAAAATGTTGGAATTACAGGCGTCAGCCCCCACACCCGGCCAGTGATTTTTTTTTCAGGCTCCTTTCTCTTTGTTGTTTAGGACAAAGATAATTTTACTTCTTCTTTTACACTTTGGATGTCCTTTGTTTCTTTTCTTTTTCTTGCCTAATTGCTCTGGCTAGGACTTCTAATATGAGCTGTTGAGAAATGATAGAATATTCTTATAAGGGATTGAATAAAGGTGGAAACTCCTGGAGGCTGATGGAGCCCTGGGGCTGGCTCCCACATCCGTAGCATTTGCCAAGCCTGATGAATATGACCATCATCTTGCTGCCTTGTGGTGTGTGAGTGACAGAAGCCTACAGTTCTGAGGAGTCTAATAGGAATCCATAAAGCTGGGCCCTCTGAGTCTACACCCTCATTGTAAAGATAAGCTGGAAGTCAACTTTACCTCCCTTGCCTCAGAAAGAACTACATGGAAAACTGCATCTCTCACACACTGGTACAGAGTGAAGTGGGGGCAATCTGCCATAAGAATTTACAATCTTAACAAATTTGGGAAGTTAGCGGGGAAGAAAGGAATCAACAATCACAAACCACCCATTCATGGCTGTTTGGCCTAAATTCATACTTACTTGGTGGTCTCAATAACCACAAGTAAAAGTTTATTTTTAAGCACCTATTTTAAAATTTATTTTAAAGCCAGTAGTGCCATCAGACACCTGACAAAAGCAAATACAAATCCTTTCTTCAAGAACTCATATTGTTCCAAATCTTAAAGAATTTACACAGATAAAGTTCCAAAGTAAATGAGCAAATCACAGTAAAAACTCACTAAATGTTTAAGCAATCCAGGCACCATGAATGAGAGTCTTCAGTAACAGGAGACAGCAGAATCAGACTTCAAGTACTAGAAGACAGAATATATAAAATAAATGTTATTTAATTATTTCAATTAAAAACAGGCTTGAAAATGTGTACATGTGATATTAAGACAATTTTTTAAAGAACAAAGCAGAACTTCTAGAAGTAAAAAATATAATAACAAATGACTGTAATATAGATTACACATATTATGTATTGAATTACATGTAACATATAATTTAATTTTGTATTGTATATTTTTTCAGAAAAAAGAGACTATTAAAAGTATAATAAAATGATAAGAGACTACAAATTTGGCTAGATAGTTATAAACGAACCAAATAGAACTTCTAGAAATAAAAAATACAGTCATTAAAATTAGATACTCAATGTATGCATTAAACATTAGATTTAAGAGAGCAGAAGAGAGAATTAGTGAACTGGAAAATGGACCTGGGAAATCACTCACAATGCATTCCACAAAGACAAAAAGTAAAAAATTATGAAAGAGGGGTTAGGGGATACAGATCATAGAGTGAGGGAGTTGTAAAGATTAGAGATAATGGATATAAAGTATCTAGCCTTTAATTGGCACCTGAAGATGGTCAAGAAATTGTAGCTATGATTATTATTCAAGTTTTGGAATGGTTTCAGAGAGTCATACCTCTTATGACATAGAGATTCACATATGTCCAAAAATGTTAAAAAAAAAAAAAAAAAAAAAGAAGAGAAAGATAGTTGTGAATGATTTTCTGAAAATAAAAAAAGAAACAAACAAAAAAAGGGCCCACTCAGACTTCAGTATTTCATAAAGGAGAATGCCATTTTAGTATTGAGACTTGTCTTCTGAGACTCTCTTTATTCATTCCCCATGCCTAACAAATCTGTTTGGTGGTTCAATAATTTATTTAATGGGCATTAGTAAGTCTGTCAGTCTGGTCTCAAAACGCACACACACACACACACACACACACACACACACACACACACA
Source organism: Homo sapiens (assembly GCF_000001405.40). Classification (NCBI taxonomy): domain Eukaryota; kingdom Metazoa; phylum Chordata; class Mammalia; order Primates; family Hominidae; genus Homo; species Homo sapiens. Next base: position 107,950,246 of record NC_000009.12, on the reverse strand, counting down.
CGCAAAACTAGATAGTCAATTCTTAACTCTCTTGTAACCAGAAAATTACATATGAACTTACATGGACCAATTTCTACATGGAGTTGTATTCAGTAACAGCTTTGACCTCTAAAATCCTTAAGAATTTATATGGACCTGTATTCTCAGTTTGTTTGTATGTTTTTACAAAGGAACCAATTCAAGGATTTGGAAGAATCAAACAAATAAAAACAAAATTCTCTCGACATCATTCACTACTCTCCATCTTTCTTATTCTTTCTTCTATTTTCCCCTGTTTCTCTCAGTGCTATGCTGTATTCATTTCTTCATCTTTATCTTTGCCCTTGGGCCACCCCATCCTGCCCCTTGACCAGCTGTGACTACCAGAATTTCTTTCACCACACACAGCCCATTTTGAACTGATCCATGATGACTAGAGATTCCCAAAGCTCCATGTTCCTGATCCTCTGTCATTCCCTTTAAAGGGCAGACACAGGGCCCCCAGTAAAGTGAAATTGTTTATATGATTCACCAGTTCTCATGTTGAATACAATCTTTACTTTGTTCTACCACAAAATCTAATCTACCATGTTAATTAAATAACCCACATACACCAGCAGCCATACAGACAGAACCACAGTTTCCAACATTCAGCACCATTCAAGTGCATCCCTGTGTAGCCTGTTAAGGGAAACTAAGGCTTACAATCCTAAAAGAAGGGGGAAGTTACCAGAGTTCTTGTGTAGGAGAAAGATATACATATCATTGTAAGACCAAAAAAGACTATTATGTGTACCATAAAAGTATACCATGAAATATAAACGTCCAAAAGGTATTCCAACCATTGCTACTTTGTGTGAATTCAAGAATGCTAGGAAATATTATGTCTAGGAATACCTGCAATTATAAAGGACAGTAATTATCCCTGCAACAGTCACCAGATGTTTCATCCTCAGAATTGCGAAAGTTCTTATTGCCACACTCAATTAGCTATGCAGTGACATGGATGCACTCCCTCATGTGTTTCCTTTCTCTGGGGTCACGCGTATGCTAAGGTGACCTAATATAAAGTGTGATTTTGGCACAAAAGCATCACACAGAACATGACCTAAATATCATATTCAAATGCAGTCACATATATTGAGAGTCTACTCACATTCAATCCTTACAACAGCTATGTGAGTTGCCTGCAGTTTTTTTTTTTATATATATATAAGTAAACCAAGGCTCTGACAGTCTAAGTAACTTGTCCCAACCCAGACATACAGTAAGTGTCCCTGAAACCTTAGACCTTGTCTCTCTGGCTTTAAATACTGTACTGTTTTGACTGACCAACCTGGAAATTAAAGCGGGAGAATTAGACTATCTACAAATAGGAAAATTGTGTAGTGTCAAGAGAACCATGCCATTGTGGTCAAGGTCATAGACCTGGGCTGGGTCAATTAGCTTTTCTCTTTCCCAGTGGTTTACACTTTAAATCCTGCCAGAGTTTAAGCAGATTAGTCACAATAGCAACTGAGTAGGAATTTGTGGATGGCTGACAAAATTAATCATTTCTCACGTGTATGTGCCATTTATGCATTTTAAATTTTCCTTTCATATTTACTATCTACATTAAACCTCCAAAATAAGATAAAATAGGTTTTACCATCCTTAATGTACAGATAAGGCTCAGAAGAAGAGTGTACTGTGACCACCCTGGGCCACATAAGTGGTAAGTGAAGGGGACTGGAACTAAAATCCAGGGTCTCTGACTGCAAGCTCAGTGCTCTTCCCACTGGTCCAGAATTGCCATGGATAAGCCCAGACTCTGCCTAGTGCTCAAAACATTGTTTCAAAGCCCAAAGCTTCGAAAGGCAATCTAGGAGAAGAAGACCATGCATTTATATCTTCCCAGTTGATTCCGTGTTGCTCTCCGTGGCCCTGGGGCTCATCTGACTTCCCATGCATTCCCTCCCACCAAAGAAATGCCAAATAAATGATGTCATTTAAATGCCCGATTTCTCAAGTAAGCAGTAAAGGCTGGAGCCCCATTCACACAGCACGTGTGGACATTTGGTGGTTGTCCTCGTCATCCCATGCTCCTTCCCCTCTTCCTAACTCTACATTGACTTCCATAGTAAGGTATTTTGAGTAGAATTAATGCTGAATGCAGACTCCATGAAAATATCATCAAAATAGCCAGTTGATAAGACAAAGCTGAGTATATTCTTATCAAAACAAGGGGAAACACTACCATAATAAAGTCTTAGTAGCATCACAGGACAAAGTTCAGATATTTATAAGATTTTGGAGTCTGACCTAAGATGAACTTTCAATGGGAGAGGCCTAATTAGGATTGGATAAGTATCACAATATAATACTTCAGGATTGGTAGACAATCAAAGGCTTCAAGCTATGATTCAAAAAGTCTTAGAGAGTAAACAGTCATTTGATGCTATTTATTAAAAATTTCAAGTGTGGTGTTTATATAAATTATTTTTGTTTATTTGTTTTGTTTCTTCGGTGGATACAGGGGAGAAAGTTCCTGAAATGAACAGTAAGTAATCTGCAACTTTTATCTTCCTGGGGAAGGGTTCCCTGGAGGAGTAATGCTACATTGATGAAGACAGTGGAATAGCAAAGTTATGTTAGTGAAGACAGTCAAATAGTAAAGTCAGGTTAATGTGGATAATAAGCTGTGTGAGTGTAGATGGATTCAGTCCTGAATCCCATTGCAATTCCCTGCAGTGTGCCCTGATTGACTTAAATGAATCAACATAGTCCATCCCCCTGGTCCCAGTGATTGACCCAGCAATTGGTGCAAGAAGCAATTGAGGCCAATGGAGCCTCATCATTCAGCTGTATGCAAGGCAGAGTTTCTAATATCTACTCAGTTTGAACCTGAGTCTGCAGCCCCACTAGTTGTTGGCAGCAACCTTGCAACCGTAATTTTAAGTCTTTGAAGAGGGCCAGTGTTAATGAAGAGAGGCTGAGAAGGAAGTGAGAGAAGCTTTGTTTCAGTCTAATCACTTGAGCCACCAAATCAAACCTTAAGCCAGCCCTACTGGGACAATATATATATTTCCTTTATAAACTAAGCCATTTAAAGATGAATCTTCTTTTATTTACAATGCATGGCATTCTAATAGATACAGAGCACATATGAGAATTTTTCACATTTCCTACATGTATGACTTTAGAAAAGTTATTTCTTTGCTACCAATCTTGTTTTCTACATCCATGAGTAACAGGATTCACCAATGAATTGGATTGTGAGAACCAAGATAATGTATGCCAAGTGCCCAATGCCTAGGACATAGCTGTTACTCAATAAATGGTAACCCTAGCCATGGCAACTCTGGCTATGACTCTGCAACTAACCAGCTAAGTGACCCAGGAAAGTCACTAATCCTATCTGGGAGGCTGATCATTTCTCTATAATGCTTCAGGATCTTTCGCTGGGTTTTGAATCCCCAACTAACTCTCACATTTCATTATTTTGTGCATTATCTTTCTACACACTAGAATAAATTAAACTGGAAATCCCCCTCCAGGCCCTGCCACATGATTCAGTAAGCCAGTCCTTGAGACATGATATATTGGCATTTGATACCAGCCTGGGTTCTTGGCTGTGAGAACAAACAGGGCACTGAGATAACTAACGCTTGATCACCACTGAGCAGATTCCAAGTAGCAGGTTGGATTTGGGAAGGTGGCTGAATAAATATTAGCCTTTATCACAGCTCAAACAACCCCAACTGCCAAACCGAAGAGTTCTTGGGAAGGAATTGTATTCCCTCTTCCGCTTTGGAGAACCAGAAATCACAATGTAATTTTGTCACACTGCCCAGCAGATAATTCTTTTCTAGCTAGTAAATAAAGGCAGGCACTGCCCTATGTGTTTAAAGGCATCGTATGCCTACATTTACTCTCTCTTTCAGATAAAGAGGAGTAGGGCTGGCTTAACAAGAGATACTTCCAAGAAACTGGAGGTGGGTTTTGCCTTTGACCAGTTGAGAACTTTGGTCATAGGAAGAATCCATCCAGTCTGAAGAATCTGAAGAATTATTCAAAGATACTGCAAAAAGCCACGTCCAAGAAAAAGAAGTTTCCAATTTCATGTTCATGGAGGAACTCCTTTTCAAATTCCAAAAGCTGTGTCAACACAACCAATGGGAGTTGGAGAGCCTAAGCAATCATCTGCGTGATTCAAGTTAAAAATATTTGTCCCTAAATCATTTAGTTGAGGCAAGAATAATCTTCTCTATGAATTAAATAAGCAATCACCTTAACTGTAATTAAAATATTATATTTGGACAGTGCTTTATACTTTTCAAAGTACTTTCACTTATTTCACAATTATCTCATTTTCTAGGAAGGTGAAGAGCAGAGAGGTGAAGAGACCTGTCCAAAGACACAACCATGAGATAGTAGCTGGGATCCAAGGGGTGGATGATGTGGCAGGAATGAGAGAGTGTTTAAAGTTATTTCTAACAGTCAGAGCCAGCATTAAGAGCCTAAGTGCCTGACATCTTGTCTCTCTAGTGCCATGCTGCATCTCACCTCTCTCCTCTAGAGGTGCCATATAGTCAATCACATTACGGACATCAAGGTTTATCAGCGGCACCCAGAAACTGACATCAGGGAGAAGATAATGAAGCAACTTAGTCACAGAAAGGAACTACTGTTTACTGAGCACTTTTTATATGCTGGGCCTCTTGCTAAGCCCTTTAAATATATTAGTGTATTTCATACTGTCAATAGGTTGATGAGGTAGAAATTATTATCTTAATTTAAGCCTTTGCAGGCTCAGGAGAATTTGGTGACTCTGCATCTTCAGTACAATGCTGAGGGTATCATTGCTCTCCAACTTCCAGTTAAAGGTCTCACACTTCCCAACAGGAGCTTGACTAATTAGTAAGGCCAGTTTCTCGCTGGGTCCCTCTCATATGCACCTTTTGGTTGTTGGAATCAGCTGCATCCTGAGCAGTAAGGATGCTGAGGCCACTGAGGAAAGGAGTATCTTTGCCTGCCCAAGTATCTAAGTGGAAGGTCTTGCCCTCGGGGGTACAAGTGGAAGCAGCACAGCTTAAACTCTCTAATGTGATCAACCGAACGTTTGGTGTCAAAATCCAATTTATGGATACCACCTCCAACTTCAAAGGCAAAAGAGCTTATGGTTGGTTCCTGGTTATTTGTTTAAATATTTAGATGTGTATTGCAAATCTCCTATACCTCTTTTTGCCACTAAATCTCCTGTTATCCCTTTCTCCATCCCTCTGCCATACTTCTTGCTAATGTTATCTTCATTTTCTTACTTCCCACTCACTGTTTAGCCCATGTTAATCTAATTTCAGACATAACTCTACCAGCCCGGTGCTCTCCAAGTTCACTGGTAAACTTCCTAATTGGCTAATTCAGTTGGCCCTTTCCATTGGTATCTTCTGGGCCTTTCTGCAGCATAGACGCTGCTAATCAACCTTCCTGAGTTTCTTACTGTCATTAGCTTCCATCCCACGAGCTCTCTCTGGAATTCACTCTTGGTTCTTATTCCTTCTTCACTTATTTTTAATCTCTTTTTTCTGTGATGACCCCTTAAATGCCAGAGTTTCTTAGGTTGTGTGCCTTGTCCTGCTCACTCTTGTTTCTACCCAGTCTCATAGAGCTACCATGCCGTCTAGAAGTTTCGCTTACCACCCGTCTGCGGCGGCCCTGTAGATGTTTCTTAGTTTCGTTTGGTTTGGGTTTTTGTTTTTTTTTTCCTGAGACAGATTCTCACTCTGTCACCCAGGCTAGAGTGCAGTGGTGCGATCTCAGCTCACAGCAACATCTGCTTCCAGGCTCAAGCGAGTCTCCTGCCTCAGCCTCCCGAGTAGCTGGGAATACAGGTGTGTGCCACCATGTCTGGCTAATTTTTGTATTTTTAATACGGGGGGGGGGGGGGGGGCTTCACCACATTGGCCAGGCTGGTCTTGAACTCCTGACCTGAAGTGATCCACCCGTCTCAGCCTCCCAAAGTGCTGGGATTACAAGCCCAGCCTATAGACGTTTATCTCCTTCACAAACTTTTTCATGTGCTCCAGGTGCCCCTCAAAATGCCCTCAACTTCCATATGTTTCATATTAAACTCCTCATGATTGTCCAAGATCTGTTCCTCCTCCTGTGATCTCACTCTCCATGAGCACAATCCACCCACCCACTTTCCCAAGCCAGACCCTTGGGAGTCGTTCTTAATATCCTTTTTCCCCTCAGTGCCTGGTCTGCTGCCACATACAATCAATTATCAAGTTTTCCATATTTTTTCCTCTTAAATGTGTCTATAATTGGTCCTCTTTTCCACATTATATCTGTCCCCATCATGACTTGAAACCTCATCATTTTTGCCTAAATCAATATGACAACCTTCTAAATGAAACTGGAGCCTCTATCCTCTGTTCACTTCAACTCCATCATTCACACAACATCTAGAGTGATTCAAGCATCTAGATATATTTTGAACACACATTATGTGATAGGCATTTTTTCAGTACCAGAAAAAATATATATACGCACATACATACATATATACATATATGTTATCTTTCTCTATATTTCTTTCTAAATATTTTCTATGTATCAAATATTTTCCATATATATTTCCCTCTAAACATGTATTTTGTATATAGTTAAATGTTTTTCTCTATATTTTTTCTATATATATATAACTGTTTTCTATATATATTTCCTCTCTCTATATATATGTGTGTGTGTGTATATGTATATATTCTCAAGAGAGAAAAATATATATTTTTTTGAGAGAGGGAGAATGTCCCGGTTTCATTGATTTATGTTCTATGGATCTATCTGGAGTGAAAATTTAACCATGCAACACCCTTCTAAGATGTTAGTCAAGGCCTTCCATCCTCTCTTCTCTTCCATGTTCCGCATCTCCCCCATCAATGCTACCTGCTTGACACTTAACTCCAGTTTCCTGAACAAACTGTGGTATTTTATAATACCATGTCTTTTCTCATATTACCTCGCCTTCCTCATCACCTCTTCCCAATGACCCTTTAAGTTTCAGTCCAGTTATCATCTCATTTGAGGAGCTGTTACAGTAACAATGCTATGTGATTATCAAAACTATTATATTTTCCTCTTTCTAGGCACATAAGAAGACTACATTTCCCAGCATCCCTTGCAATTGAGCTCACGTGATTAGCTCTAGCCAAGAGGTGGCAAGCAGAAGATACTTGAGTCTCTTCCTGGTGAAATAGAATGAAAGCACTGAACACAGATGTGAAGTCTCTGTGCTTTTACTTCCGTCACTGTGGTGAATTGGCATCCATATGTTGAAATGACATCACAAGACAGAAACAATTAGGGTCACTGAGTCACTGCAAGAAAGAGAGCTGCCCTGGAGAGTCATCTAGAATCACAGCAATCTTCTGTATATTCAAGAAACAAAGCTTTGTTTGTACTGAGATTGGAGGTTGTTATTGCAGCAGAGTACAGCCTATCCTAACCAATACAGAAAATATAGTAGGCAAAATAAGGGCACCCAAAAAAATGCTCATTTCCTAATCTCCAGGACCTGTAAACAAGTTATATCATATGGCAAAGACAAATCAAAGTTGCAGATGGAATTAAGGTTGCTAATCAGCTAATCTGGAGATGGAGAGATTGTTCTAGATTATCTGAGTAAACCCTATGTAATTACAAAGGATCTTAAAAGCAGAAGAGAGAATCAAAAGAATCAGAAAGATGGCAGTATGAGTGGGACTTGGCCCAATGTTGCTGGCTTTGAAGATGAAGGAATGAGGCCATGAGTCATCGAGTATGGTAGCCTCTATAAGCAGGAAAAGGCAAGGAAATGGTTCTACCCTAGAATGTTCAGAAAGGAATGCACCCTACCAACACCAGTCTTTGCCTGGGTAAGGTATATGTTCCACTCCTAAGCTATAGAACTATAAATAATAAATCTGTGTTGTTTTAAGCCACTAAGTTTGGGATAATTTGTTGCAGCACTAATAGAAGACTAATACAGAGGCATTTGTAGACCTCAGGCTCATTCAAGAATTCTCATCTGTTTCCCCATAATGCTCTAAATATATTTTATTAATGTACTTCCCATATCATATCTTGATTATCTCTGTGTGTATGTGTCATTTTCTTCCCTAGAGTGAAAGTTTTCTTGAGGGCAAGAATTAAGTCTTCTTCACTTTTATATCCTTAGCAATAATCTCAGAGACAATCTCCTTGAACAAATCCATGTGCAATACCATATAAAAAGTGTTGCGGTTGCAATATATGCACAGCGGTATAAGAGCAGAAGGAGAGAATATTCTACCTGGTAGGGAGTAAAGAGGCTTCTTAGAAGAGTTAACAATGGGGCTTGTTGTGAAGCCCACAGAGAACAGAAATCACTGTGAAAAGCCTTCAAGCAGGTGAGGTGGAGACTGAAATGCACTAAAGTGTCATGCTCTGTTCTAAAATGGACAATTGCTACTCAGCCCCTATAGATAATTACTTTGCACAAAGGCACAGTTGACTAATCTACTGCTTTTTCAAGATAGGCTGAGAATCTGGACTCTTATGTGAAATGTAAGAAACAAGGTAAAACACTGTGAAAACACACATGCACACACAAACACATACACACACACAAACCTCGTAAGTTTTTGGGCAAGATTTAGCACAATTCCTAAAATAGATCTCTAGGTGAAGAAAACTGAGAGTGCTATTCTAGGGAGAGGGATCAGAATACACAAAAGGACAATGCTGTAAACGACAAAAGAAGGCATGCTCAGGGAAGAGTTGAGGAACCTCAACTCCTAGTCTCAACTGGCCTAGGCTGCCTGGGGAGAAGCAGAAAGAGCTGAGCCTGGTGAGGTTGGCAGGAGTCCCGAACCACGTGCTGCAGATCTCGAATTTCATCATGTGAGCAGTAGATTTTGGGGTCATGAAAAGGTGTTAAGGAGACAAACAGTAAGATTTGTGTCCTGGAATAATCATTCTGGCAATAGGTGGAGGAGAGAACGAGGTAAGGGACCACATGGAAGTGGAGAATGAGAACAGAATTGTAACATGCATTTTTTTTTAATATGCAGCACCAAGTAATACCTTTCTATGGGAACAGCCCAGAATGCTTGTTCAAAACACCAAAAAACACTGTAATAGTCTTTCCAAGTGAGATGAATTCCAATGCCACACTGGCATCATGGGCCACAGCAAGTCTGCAGCCTAATGCAGGAGCTCATTACTAGGTTTGAAAGAGGGAGAGAAAGAGCAAGAGAGAGGGTGAGGGACAGAGAGAAAATGCGCATATGTGGATGTGTTTGTGTGTCCCACAAACTCACTTTTCAGGCCCAGAGTGTCTCATAATCCTTTTGGATGGGAGTCAGTTTTGGACCATAAATCACAAGGGTCATCATTTCTGTAGGGAGATGTTTGCAATGGGTCTTGGGTTAGAAGGAATGTAAATTTTCTGGAAAAAGATGAATAAGCATTTCTCCTCTGGTTATTCATGTAGAGTGCATGGTCCCTCTCCCTCCTGAAATAAAACAGGACTGTCAACTTCACATGCTTCACTCTAGGTTTCTGGGAAGTGTAACGTATCAGGGCCCAGGGAGATATGCCCCCCAGCTGCCTCTCCCTATATGATCCTTGACAATTGGCTATTCTGAGGCACAGATTGTCGGGCACAGGAGAGCAAATCTGAACCACATAGAGCTCAGTGTGATAGGAGAAAGGACCACTTTAGCCACGTGCCTCTCCAGCCAGGACATCCTGAGGCAGAGGGGATGAATGGGTAGAAAGTGAGAGGTTTCAGACATGAGAAGGCGTAAATGTTCTTAAAGCAGACGTTGGCCTAGGGGCTCCAGACCCAGCTCTGCTATTGCTAGCTGTGAGCCTCCAGGCAAGTTACTTGTCTCTGTGTTCAGAAGTCTTCATACATAAGACAACGAACTGAACTGGTTCAGCTTAGAGATTCATTCCATTGGGAAATCTCTATAATCAATGAACCGACCAACCAGCCAGTCAATCAAACCAATGCACAGTCAGTGAGCACTCCCTGAGAGCTGGGCTCTGGCTGAGTGCTAGAATTGTGCTTGGACATTAAATCCAGGGCCTTACCTCAAAGAGCTTTCACTCCAGTGCCTAAGACAGACCAAGCAATGCCTTACAGTTGTCAAAAGTGGCAACAGACACATGGAAAAGGGAAGGGATTGGAAAAAAGAAGTTATTAACATTGTCTGAAGAGTAGAGAAGGGAAAGCCTGGGAAGACTTTCTCAGGGAGGAAAGATATGAACTGGACTTCGAAGGACTAAGCAGAATGACCAGCATAAACAAAACCTGCAGAGAGAAGAGTGCTGAATGTGTAAAATAAGGGAAGATGCCAGCTGTAGCTCGAGCATTCGAGGGGATGCTCCCCTCCAGGGCTGCCCCTTCCAGCCCCACGTGTCCTCACAGTGTCCACTCAGCTGGGGGAGAGTGCACGGAAGAGGAGGCCATAGGAGCTTTCTATGCTGGATTTGGGGACAGCATGTGAGGCAAAAAGAAGGAGTGAGCATAGAGAGCAAAGCCTCTTCTGGTGTCACTACTGAGGGGAATTTTTTTTTTTTTTAGTTCTTTTTTTTTTTTCTCAGGCAGGGTCTGTCTCTGCCACTTGGGCTAGAGTGCAGTGGCACAATCTCAGCTCACTGCAACCTTCGCCTCCTGGGCCCAAGCCTCCTCCCACCTCAGACTCCCAAGTAGCTGGAACTATAGGCCCGTGCCACCACGCCTGGCTAATTTTTGTATTTTTTGTAGAGATGAGGTTTCACCGTGTTGCCCAGGCTGGTCTCAAACTCCTGAGCTCAAGTGATCCACCTGCCTCTGCCTCCCAAAGTGCTGGTATTACAAGTGTGAGCCACCATGCCTGACCGGTCCTCTCCTTTTTAAAAAATTTATTTAATTTCATCCCATTCATGTCCATGCATATACATACATTTATTTGACTTCATAGGTGCAATTTTTTCTTTTTTGGCTTGGCTCCCCAGTCTCCCCTCTTCTCCCCTCTATCACTGTCTCTCATCTCCACAGTCCCTCCCCGAGAGATAACACATCAACAACCCTATCAGACAGGCTCATTGCAGGAAACAGATGGTGTGGTGCACTCAGACAGCGCTCAAGGAGATTTTAATAAAGAGACAATTTTCAAAGTGAGCGCAGGTTAAGAAAAACTAGCAAAAGATGCTGAAGCCACAGCAAATCGCCCTTTAGACCTGAAGGGCCAAAGATAAAGATTATACAACAGGAAGAGAGTGGTCATATGGAGGCCCCCCCGATCTGGAGCTGTGGACTTCAGTAAAGGAGAGGCAGCTACCCGGTGCCACCGTCACTGGCAGGAAGGAGTAAGAGGAAAACACCCTTTTCCCATGCCCTTCCCTCCTTCTCATCTCCTACTGGTAATTCCATTCATGAAACCAACCAGAAACCAAAAGGTATATTGGGCTGTGAATGCAGCACATAAAGGTCAGGTTCCAGGCACACCACCGGCTGGGGCAGGGCAGGGAGTGAATTTGGGAGGCAAAAAGAAAATATCCAACACAACCTATGTGCATTCTTCTTTGGATTTCTTTAGATACCTGTATATTCATATATATATATATATATATATATATTCATATATGTCATACATCATATTTTTATTGTTGTTTTACAAAAAAAAGCAGCATATTACACATTTGCTTATCTTACTTTTCTCATTCACCAATAGCTCACAGACAACTCCTCCAAGTTATCTTATAAAGCTTCATTCACTCTTTTATATTCTTTTAAATCGCTGCAAAATATCCCCTAAGATGAATGTATGATACGTTATTTGGAAATTACCTTATTTGCCAGTTTTTGTGACACTACAAACAGTGGTTTAAGAGTATATTTAAGAGTACATGTATGTGTATTTTTAGTAAAAAATGTCAGAATGCAAGAATACCATAACTTTTTTTTTCAAGTGCTCAAGAAGAACAGACAAGAGGAGGAACCAAGAGCCTAGCACCTGCACTCATGGTCACCTGCTCTAGGAGGCCACCTCATCCCCCATACTGTCATTGCTCATTATCTAGCACCCGTCGTTCACACCCCCACCCCATCCCAAAGACCATGAACTTTCAGAGGTTACAGATTGTGTCTGACCCATGTATGGGCCTCTGCCATCTAGCATAGAACCTGACATATATTAGGCTTTTGATGTTTATTAAATAAAAGAATAAATAAAGCCAAAGAAGTTGCCCAGAACTTTCTGGTTTTCTACTCTGCCTTCCCAGAGTGGGGAAAGCAGCAGGGACTCAGGACTGAGTCTCTGTGTCAGAACAAACAGCTTGCTTTTTGGTGGGACCTTCTCCATGCTCCACTTCTCAGGTCCTGAACTGGACAGATAAGGTATCAATGGTGAAGAGCCACTCAGACATGGAGGAAGGACATGAACTCACCATACAGCATAGACTAGATGCTTCTCAGATACACAGTGGCTGCCTCATTTACTCTCAGGAGGGGAAAAGAAAAGCAAGACTCTGGCTCTGAAAAACCTTTGGAAAGAAGTCTTAGAACAGAACATATTTCCCAGTAACAAAAAAACAGGCTTTCTCTCAGGGCCATGGACTCAAATCCTTCCGTTTGGGTCCATGGCTCCCTCCCTCCCTCCAGATCACCCCATGTAGAGTAGGCCTGTCGTGTCTGTCCCCTAGTGGGGGTGGTTTTTGGCAAAAGTCATTCTTCTCAGAGTTAATGCTTTCAGAAGAAACAAAAAGAAATGACAAAAGTAACAATGATGTCTCTGCTCTTCCAAAAACACAAACAAAAAAAGTTGTTTTCAGTGTTCCTATTAGTATGTGTTTCCTTTTTTTTTTTTTTTTTTTTTTAGCATTCTGATATTTGTCTTTCTGGTGTCTCCAGAAAACCTGCCTCCATTGTGTTCTTCCAGAAAATGTATTTGTCCTTATCCAAAACTGTCAGCAGATTTCTCAGTAGGGCTGAGTTGTTGCCACTGTGATGCGTGGGACTAAGTGAAAACAGATCTTCGCTAAGGGACTGACTTTTGATGGACTAACTCACAGACTGGGATGTGGCCTCCACCACTCTGTGCCCCTGAGATCCCAAGAAAGACAGAAAAAGAGGAGTGACTGCGTGGAACAGGCAATATTGGCAAACACTGGTCAGAGATGATGCCCTTGTGGAGCCAGGCTGTCTAGTGGGGGTTGGCTTAGTCCCTTTGGGCTGCTATGACAAAAATACCATAAACTGAGTGGCTTATAAATGACAGAAATTCTCACAGTTCTGCAGGTTGGGAAGTCAAGATCAAGGTGCCAGCAGATTTGGGGTCTGGTGAAGGCCTGCTTCCTCGTTTATAGATGGTGCCTTCTCACGAGTGGAAGGGGTGAAAGGGGCAAGAGTGGAAGAGATAACGGAGCTCTCTGGGACCTCTTATAAGATACTAATCTTAGTCATTAAGCCTTTACCTCATGACCTAATCACCTCCAGAAAGCCTCACCTCCTAATACCATCACACTGGGGTTTAGGTGTCAACATATGAATTTTAGGGAATACATTCAGTCTGTAGCAGGGGTGGTACATGTGTTTGAAGGTGTGAGGGTAGGGTGTGCTAAATAGCATGGATGGTTCATCCAAGTGGCTTCAAGCAGAAAAGTCAGAGGAAACATCTGGAATCTGATCAATCAGGGAGACCAGGGGAATAACCGGGGAAGACCAACTTCTAGCCCAGAGTTTCTCAACATCGGCACTTCCACGTTTTGGACTGTAACCTAATCTCAGAATCCCATCACTTTTCCCATATTTTTTTGTTAGAAGGAAATCACCATGTCCAGTCCGTTCTCAAGGAGAGGAATTTACACAAAGCTTGAATACCAGGAAGCGGGGATCACTGCGAGCCATTTCAGAAGCTGCCAACCCCAAGGAATTATCAGAGTACCCTGATCTTCAGAACCATTGCCACCAGGAAAAATAGACTCTTTTGTGTTAATGTGTGGACTATGCAGGCAACTACGCAGACTGGCTGCACAAAGAAGAGTTACAGAGTCTTGTTTCTCCGATGTTATCTGTTTATTCGATAACTGTATTTCGAGGTTTATTCGTACGCCTTCACCCTCCCTGGCTTACCTCCATCATGTAATGATCTGTTTACTCACCTGGCTCTCCTGTTTGGCAGTGTCTCATTCACCTCCATATGCCCAGTGGCCAGCTCAGGCCTTAAAATAGAGTTGGTGCTCAGGGTCTGCTGTAAATGAAACTCAATGTACATTTGCCATCTATTGTTCCAGTAAGGAGATGGAACTACCACTTTTCCCATTGGACACAACTTTTTTTAATAAGAAAATTTCCTACTAGAAATAGTGGTATTGGACATCAGCTGGGTGGGGTTCAAACAGAGGAAGGAACTGAACCCTAAGTTGGACACACTTGGCTCAGCCCTTTCTGAATAGAACAAAGAGAATATAAATCCCTGAAGATGAATGCCTCCATTACTGGGATAACCTCTACTCCTAATGGTGTAAAAAGAATATTAAGTGGTCTTGTTTTGTTTTACTTTGCGTTTTTGGAGGAAGTTCTTCTACCCTTGGAGTTTTAAGTAATGCTAGAAAACAATCTCTGTGAAGAATGAGTTTTCCCCATTGCAGTAGATACTTGCACTGACCACCTCAGCCTTCATTTTCACCATTTTCATAAATGAAGAGGTTGGAGACCCAATTTGATGCATTCATTTGTTGAAAAAAAGAAGTAAGGCAGAGGCCATCGCCTTGACTTCTGGTTGTCACTACTGCTTGGAAAAGTTGTGTTTTTCTTGCAGCACACTGCACTGTTCATTTTCCAGGGTCCTGTGTACAGACAAACAGTGGTGGTAGTGCCGGCTTCCTGATCTGACTTCCTGATCCATGAATTACAGCTTGGAGTATCCATCCTCCTGCTCCCTGCTGTCCAGGGGTTGCAATGGTGGTGTCTTCCATTCAAAATCTACCCAGTGCTAGTGGCACACTCAGAAGTAGTAGCTCCCCTGGTAGGTCAGTTCTGTATTTCTTGGAAAGCACCCAAGAAGCCTGTCCTATTCAGCCTTTACAACTATTTTATAAGCATGCAGTTATCAATATTAAACTCTATCCTGCTTAAAATTCCCAGAGTGTTTTCTCTTTCCCTCATTAAAACTTATTGCTATGTATTTAGTCATCTGAAGTCCAGCATTTTAAAGCCTTCTCTCTTGAACTCAAAGCCATTAACTTGCCACTGTCTCTTACTTACACATATATTTAAAGAATGCTAAGAAGTGCAGAGTTTCAGTTGACAGACCAGCACCATTGCTAACTTACTTTCTTGGGGCCTGACTGCCTGATTTGTGAATAATTCTCTTTTGGGCATTCGTACACTTCTACCAGGTTTTCTGTGCCTGAAAGGCAGGGTAGAGATTGTGATGGACTCCAAACTTTAGGGCCATCTCCAACATATGTTTCTGCTGATGTACAAGCATCCTGGAGAACCTGATCTCATACCCCAGGGGGTCCATCAGCCACTCTGTTCTGCCCATGCAGAGAACTGTGTGTAGCTCCACTCTCGGTGTAGGAAGGCATATTGGTTCATTCTTGCCCTGCTATAAAGAAATACCTGAGCCTGGGTAATTTAAAAAGAAAAGAGGTTTAATTGGCTCATGGTCCTGCAGGCATGCAGGATACATGATGCTAGCATTTTCTCAGCTTCTAGGGAAGCCTCAGGAAACTTACAATCATGGAAGAAGGTGAAGGGGAAGCCAGCACCTCACATGGCCAGAGTAGGAGAAAGAAAGAGATGGGGGAGATGCTGCACACTTTTAAACCACCAGATCTTGTGAGAACTCACTCACGGTCATGAGAACAGCACCAAACGGATGGTGCTAAAACATTCATGAAGGATCCACTCCCAAGATCCAATCACATCCCACTAGGCCCAACCTCCAGCACTGGGGATTACAATTCAGCATGAGATTTGGGTGGGGCACAGATCAAAACCACACCAGAAGGAATCTGTCCTGATTAGAGAAAGCAGCTAAATCAATCAGAGCGCACAATCCAATCTCCATTTTTACTGGAAAACAAAGTGTGTCCCAAGTTTCTCGTTGGAAAATACTAAGAATGGACATAAAATTGGGTTATTCTAGGGAGTCAGCAACTCCTAGAGAAAGAACCAGGCAAACCTAAGTTTCAGGCCAGACTCTACCACCTAGAAGAAATGCAACCTCCTGTATGTCCTTCAACCTCTGAGCTCATTTACTCCTTTACAAAATGGAGCTACTACTCTGCTGAGGTAGTGAAAAAATCAAATAAAATAATCTTTCTGACTCCTAGAATCATACCCTCTTTCTGTCAAATCCATCCTGGAAGAATGTAACCCATCATCAGCCTGGATTTTTATAACATGTAAGAATTGGAAAGGACCGGCATGATGCCTTGGCAGAGTTGCCAGGCAATAAATATGTATTAAACTAATGAATTAATCATCAAAAAATGTAATTTAATAATTGTACAACCCCCTGTGAAACTCAAAGTCTTGGGGCAACTCGCCAAAATCGTGTGACTACTTGGTGACAGGACCAGGGATCAACATATAAGCCTCGATTTCCAATCAGTATTTCCTGCTCTGACTCATACTTTATAAAGCCGTAACATTTTCCAAAATGATTTGTAGGCAAAATAGCACTGATTTATGAAAAGTAAATCATAAATTACACTCAAATACTAATTTCTCGGCATCTGAGACCCATTTTACATGGAGCAGGAATTCAGATTTCCTATTGAAAATCACTTCAGGGACCAAGGATTACGGAGCTTATTTCCCAAAAGCACATGTTCCCCCAACTTTAAATAAGATGCTGAGAATGAAGCAAAGGGGAAAACACTGGATGCTGGAATGTGGGGGGCGGGGTGGGGGGAGAAAAGGCCTTTTGTGGTGAGTACTCTAATAGTTCTTTAGAAACTGTCTCCTTTCGGGAAGTGAGAAGAGTCAATCTGAGATCTGGACAAGGACATCCTTAGCGATAGAAAAATATTATGAGTCGGCAACCTGAACTGCCATGATTCACAGCAGAAAGTCCCATTGAAAGCAGCTCTGCAAACACTCTAAAGGAGAAACTGCCAGGTTCAGAGAGGGGGCAACTTTAGAGAAAACTGCCATTGATTTAAGTGAAAACAGTCCAGAACTTTAGGAATAATAGAATCATTGGACTGGCTTATTTCTCTGGTCTGTACTTCATAGAGATCTTCTCCCCGCAACTCCCACGGCAGATTCTCCCTGTGGATGAATTAGGCTGAGTGAGGAGAACAGGATTCTTGCCCATAATTTTTTCAACATATCTAGTTAATTTATCTGTTGATACCACTGTATTATGGCAGTTAAAACACTGCAACACTAGAACAAGCTGGAACAGACTTCATGCATTCATAAAAGCCATGTGAAGACCACATGCAGGAGGCGGTGGGAGAACCGGTCCAGATAAGAAAATGGATGTGAATATTTGCAATTCTTTGCTTAAAGCTGAACACTGAGTGCTTTGGCTGCAGAATCATAAACATTGCAATGGAATTTGGGAATTATCACCTTGTAGAAGCCTTGAGATGGAGATGGCTCAGACAGGTGAATGGCCAAAGCAAATGGGATAAACATCATTTTGTGTTCCTGCTAGGAGGACCCCCATTGACGGAGAGGACATTTGTCACATTCCTCAGCTCTGATTCTACCCATTTTGAATCCATGTTCCTCTAGATCTTTTAGGGAGAAATCAGAGACATTTAGTCACCCTCTGGCTAAAAACCTGAATTTCTCATTTTCTTAGCAGGTAACCTGGATGGATGTCACAAGGCATGGTTTGAAGCTGGAATCAGTGAGTTCCTAGGTTTGTGAGCTTGGGTACAAATCTAAACCTCTCTTCAGATTCCTCATCTGCAAAATGATTGTAATAATCACTCACAGACTTCAAGGAGAGAATGCAGAAATGTTTCTACAACTCAATAGGGAAGCTGTGAATCACAGCTCAGATTCTTCAAACTTGTGTAATATATAAACTTTTTCATATGGAAAAAAAACCTCATAGAACCCTAGAAAGTGACCTCAGACGTGAGACACAGTCTCCATCCACTTCAGGATCTGCAAACTGAAACAAGGACTATCTTGTTTTATGCATTTAAAATAAGTCTTTCCATTTCAAATTATTAACCAACATTTTTAAAAGTAGTTGTTAATGTATAATAGGCAAAATGAGATTAAAGATTGTTATCAAAATAAAAATGTAAATTTTTGAAACTTTGTAACATGTGGCTCTCTGAGAATGGATCATGATAATCCTTGTTTGAGAAACACCGACATAGCAATTAAGAACTGAGATGCAGAAATCAGGATTTTAATCCTGGATTTGCTGTTTACTAGCTGTGTGGTTTGGGGCAGGGAATGTAATCTCTCTAAAGCCTCAACTTCCCATTTTAGATTACCAGGTCCAAGAGTACTGATTAAAGGTGAGAAAACCTCCTGGAATTATATTCTGTGAACAAAATCATGAGAGGAAGAAATTCTAGTCCAGGGGTCTTATAGCAGAAGGTCAGATCTAGCTGTGCAAGCTCCAACAAAGCCCTGGCCCTCACTGAGCCTCAGTTTCCTCTTGGAGAAAATCAAGTGGTAATCTCTGACAAGCTTATCTACCTTGCAGAGCTGCCAGGAGGTCAAAGTGTTTATGCGAAGAAGCCTGCTATGCAAACAGGGAAGCACCACGCAGCCTTGACCACTGCAGCCTTGAACAAAACTTCTCCTGGAAACAGGGGTGCTTAACACTGCTCAAGGCTTAGAAACCACCATTCGTATCTCGCAAATAGAATCCATCTTGAGGTTAGAGTTCTGGTTTATGATCCTCTGTTTCTGGTGCCAGAAATGAGCTCAGCTGAAAGTGCCATTTAACTACCCAGTGCTGGGGTGGGTTTGCTATCAAGGTCCTTTTTATCAGTCAGCTGGCTGTGAAAAGCCAGATACATACTTAAATACACCCATTACCCAGAAGGCCCAGGGGTTCTGCTTCCCAAGGCTCTGGCAAAGCCCACCCTTCTCTGGACGAGGGCAAAATGCTGACAAAGCCGTGAATGAATTCTCTTCTCCCTCCATGGCCGCCGTGCAAACCACTGCACAAAGAAGAAATAAAAGAGAAGCAAGGACAGCCCTAAGTGGTTTACTTGTTCCTTCTCTAACCTTCTTCCACTTACCTTATCATTTTCCACCCCATCACAGAGTCACATGTGACGAGGAATTAGGGCCCATCCAATAGAGCCCAAAGCAGTCTGTTTCCAATGTTCCAGAAATGATCAGGGTACACATTTGATGGATAGTCACCAAATATTTAAGCCCATGCTAGCTAAGGTATTTTCCTATAGGCCAGGAGCTGGGCTGGGGCTTTTTTTGTTTGTTTGTTTTGGGGTTTTTTGAGCTGGGCCGGGGCTTTTGTTTTTTTGTTTTTTTGTTTTGTTTGAGACAGGGTCTCCCTCTGGTTGCCCTGGTTGGAGTGCAGTGGTGCCATCTCGGCCCATTGCAGCCTTGACCTCCTGGGCTCAGCAGATCCTCCCACCTCAGCTTCCCAAGTAGCTGGGACTATTGACACACACCACTGTGCCTGGCTAATTATTTGTATTTTTAGTGGAGACGGGGTTTCGCTATTTTGCCCAGGCTGGCCTCGAACTCCTGGACTCAAGCAATCTGCCTGCTTTGACCTTCCAGAGTGCTAGGATTACAGGGGTGAGCCACCACAGCTGGCCTGGGCTGGGGCTTTGATGCAACATTATGCCTATTTCATCTTTACAATCATCATGAAATATTAGAATTATTATTCCCATTTCACAGCCAAGGAGTAGAGGAGAAACTGATACTCTTGCATAGGCCCTCCCAAATATCACTGTCTGGGTCTACATCCTCTGTTCTGGCTTTTATCACTGTGACTGTGGCTACTCAGAGGGTCCCTAGATAGTGGAAGGATTTTCTTATCCCAGCATCACCCCCAAACAACTGTGTGTCCTTGAACTCTTGCCTTAGCTCTGAGCCACAATTTCCTCCTGTTTAACTTCTGCCTGCATTTAATGTGGTTATGGGCCTTAACTGAGATAATATATATGTAGTCTCTGTATCCCATCAGGCACTGAACACCTGGGAAGATTGTCACTAAAGTCATAGTAAACATGGTAAGCTCTCCACTCAGACTCTAAGTCACAGTATGAAAGAGGCAGGCACCCCACTGATGATGGGGTAGAACTGATGGGATGCCCAGTGGGTGACCAGTTTCAGGATTCCAGCCTGACCACATCCACTGGCCTAACAGAGGACAAATTTGAGTCCAGAATGTAATAATGGTCCACCAAGGTCACATGAGCCATGATGTAGGGTTCATGCATCTCTCCAGCTGGTGTACCTTCTAACCTGTGGGACTCGGGTGCTAGCTCTTTGAATCTCAGTCTCTTTTTACCTACTAAAATAGGGCGAGTAATTGCTACCTTACAGGGCTGTTGTAAAGATTAAGTAGAAGAAAGCATGCGAACACACTGGCACAGTGCCCAGCATGTTGGGGAAGTTCCATGGGTGTTTGTTCCTTCATGTATTGGTCCTGAAAGCTTGGTTAGGTTTGCACACATTCATGCAGCTGCTGTTCACAAAGCAGGATTTCACAAGGGCATAGAACAAGTAGGGCTTCCCTTCCCATGTGTAGATCTGTGGGAATGCTTTCATCATCAGAAATGCTGCTGAAAAGAACCTCCTAAGAAAAGTCTTAAGAGAACAGTCACCAGAGTGTCTGACCCCAGAAGTGTAAGACACCTAGGAACACTGCCTACTTTAACAAACTGCTTAAACACCAGATCAGGCTATGATCCATAACCAAGTTTCAGATGAATGGTGTCTTGGTGCATTTGGGCTGTTATAACAAAATACCTTAGACTAAGTAGCTTACTTATAAAAAATAGAAATTTATTTCCCAGAGTTCTGAAGGCTGGGAAGTTCAAGATCAGTGTGGCAGCATGGGCAGGTTCTGATGAGGGCCCACTTTCTGAGTCATAGGTGGTAGCTTCTCATTTTGTCCTCATGTGGTGGAAGAGACAAATGAGCTCACATTGGCTACTTCTACAAGGGCATTAATCCCATTCATGAGTGCTCCACCCTCATGATCTGATCACCCCCTAAAGGCCCCACCTTTTATTACTATTGCCGTGGGATTTAAGATTTCAACATATGAATTTAGGAGGGCCAAAAACATTCAGACCACTGCAGATGGTTAAGCAACAGCACTTTCAAAAGGGAATTTTGCCATTGCCAGGAGCTGCTACCTTGATGCAGACCCAGGTCTCACCGTCTGGCCCAGCGGCTACCAATTGTCCCTTGTCCCAGGCGCAGAACAGACAGCCAGCCAGCGAGACAAATTGACTGACCTGAGGAGGTAATGCCATCATTAAGTCCAGGGAGAGATCCTCCTGAGGAGGTTTGGGGAAGCCATATTTGCATCTCTGCTCTTACTCTTCTCGATTTCCAGCCAAATTTTATGAGTTCAGAGGGCAGGCCAAACTTCACAGCATGTGAAGAACACAATTGTACTTCCTGATCCTCAGAATGAAGATTGTGACTGTGATTCCAAGTTTCACAAGTTGCTCTTAGTACTCTGAATTTGGTTCACTCACATGTTTGAACACAAACTTAGGGGGTAAAAATAAACATGCCAGAGGATCTCAGGAGATTAATAACATACTGTAGAAGAGATAAAAATAAATAAATAAATAACCACAGCAAGAGATAAAGAGGAGGTGGCATTTGAGATGAAGCATTGAAAAGTGGGTAAAATTTGGAAATATAGAAATAGAAGGGAAGTATACTCTAGGACAATGAAACAACATTAACAAAAACATGGAGGCAGAACACTCAAAAGATTTTAAAGAGTAAGGAGTCTTGATGTATATGGACTGTGAAGCATGTCCTATGTATAGACAACCTTGCTGTACCCTTGTCCATGTAAGACAGCCCATTTATGGCAGAGGATCAGTGAGAACCAGAGTCTGGCAGACACTTCCAGTGCTCACCCATATTTAGCTTGCTTTTTCTTCTGGGCACAAGAAAGGACTCTATTTCCCCACCACTCCTGTAGCTAGGCAGCATCGTCTAATTCTAACCAATGCATTGTGTGCAGAAATGGTAAATGTTAATTCCTGGCCAAAGCAATTGCCAAATCGTAATCTCCAGGACCTCTTCTCCTGTCGTTTCAACTGAACAGGTTGTATTTTCCAAATAGTTTAGCTCCAGGACAGAGGAAGCTGCTCACACATGGACCACTGAATCACTACTTGGAGAGCCAGTGGCTTTGAAAGTCTCCTAGATCTTCAGTAAACTTTTTGCAAGCAAGACATAAACCTCTGGTGTTAAGCCATTAAGGAATGTTTGTTATGGCCACATAACCTAGTTTATCCTGACTAATATAAAGAGTTTCTAAAAAGTGCCCATGAGTCTTATGAAGACCATACTGGACCCACTATGTTTACTTGTTCCTCAGAGAATACAAATCTTAAGCATCATTATGACCAGAGAAAGATACAACTATCCCACTTGTACCAGGCCTCTGGTATACATAGATACCTTCCTAGTTCTAGGCAGATTCTGTTCAAGATAGCAACACTACCAAGGGCTTTGTGGCTTCATTTTAAAGCAATGATGAAAGAAGATATTGTTGACAATCTCTAAAGCTACACTGAGATTTGAATAACTCGAACGATGACCTCATAGCAGCTTTGCATGGTAATAATTACTAGTAAATTACTGAGATTCCAACATGTTAGTGGACATCTTTCAACCTTGGCCTTACACTAATCCTGCAACATCTGGATTATTATCTCCAATTTGCATATAAGAAAACAGGCCAGAGAAGAGATACGACTTGCTTAAGTTCACCTAAGTCATTTAGAGGAGAGTTACGAGTCAAACCCAGATATATCTGACACCAAACCCAAGCTCTTTTTACGAAGCTAATCTGTCTCTTAAAGCTCACAAGAAGGATAGGTAAAAATAGAATCTTACCTAGAATTGTTCATCTTTACTCTAACAAGAAAAATAAAAAATAAAAGAAGTGTTGCAGGGACAGATAGTGCTTGCTAAATCTTCATTTCCTCCTCTGCATTACCCAATTTCTCCAGCAAATAGTCTGAGGCCATATAGCTAGTTTTGGCCAATGAACTAAGAGCAGAAATGACATTTGTTCTTTGCAGGTTGAGGTAGTTAAAAGTCAGTGTGTTTCTTCTGTCTTCTTTGCCTCCGCTTACCTGACATGACACATAATCCAGTTGGCACATCTATAGGACAGAAGAGGACCTCTGGACCGTCCTGATATTGTATGTGAGAAATAAGTCCCATTATATTAAGCCAGGTGCAACTGTCTTTTAGAGACCTATATTATTGTTGTTGCTGTTTTTTACTTACTGGACTAGAGGTTAACAGAACACAATTAATCTTAACGGTTCATTACATATTTTGATCCTTAGTTTTTGCACGACTCACTTTTACTTATTTTAGTAGCCATTTAGTTATTTTTTTAAATGTATGCATTCACATTTAAAACCACCTCTAACAACTAAAATTAGAACTTCCATAATAACCATCTAACTCCATGGTTCCTCTACAAACTCTTTCTCCTCTCTTCTCTCACACAGAGTAACCATCACCCTAAATCCTATATTCTTCATTCCCTTGATTCTCTTAGTATATGGTTTTATTGTATCTATGTGTATTCCTAAAAAGTATGTGTACTTATTAGATTTTGTTTCTAAACTTATAAAAGTAGTGTCATGTCATAATTATTTGAAATCTAATTATATTTAATATTACATTACTAAGACGTATCACTTTATTTATTTTGACTTGTATACATTAAACTTTATTCCTTTTCTTTTCTTAGACATGTCCTGATGAATCTCCTTTCCAAGTCTTAAGTAAATTTATTTAGTTGCCTATACACTTACTATCAGAGGAGCAAAATCTAGAAATACTGCAGGCAAATATGAAGTGGCACAGGACTGACATTTAGACTGGCTTGTGAATGCAAGCTTTATTCTTTCTGAGACTGAATTTGGGGCACAGTTTCCTCCACTACAAAATTGCCACATTTATGCTATCCTTACTGGACTATGGCAAGGATTCAACAAAACAGAGAATGAACAAAGCATTTTATGAATTCTAATATGTCCCATAAACACTATTATGAGTAAGAAGACTCTTTCAATCTGCTTTTTAAAGCACGCGCGCGCACACACACACACACACACACACACTCTGTTCCCTTTTGCAACTAAAATCAACAAATTCAAGCTTATATCCATATTTCTGTTCTGGCTGCCCCATGAGCAATCATCACCAGAATAACTAGCAAATTGGAATCATCCCTCTTCTCTGCCAGATGTCTCCCCCCTCTTCTTGCTCTTTGGCAATTCAGATGATATTCATTATCCATCTTCGAACAAACTGCAGGTGAAGAAGATTTGGAGCTGGATGTCTTTTACTTGACACACTCACTTTTTTTCCCAGTGTGTATGCGTGTAGATGGGATATTGTTTGCATGAGCCATGGTTTTGCTCCGTACAGGATGACTTCCTGCCATAAGTTCTTCTTACAACAGTTGAAAGATAAAGGGCTTTGGAGACAACCAACCTGGGTTTTTATCCAACAGTGGCAGTTACAGGTTTATCTCAAAAGAGGTGCATACATTCTTTGAGTCTCTGTTCTCCCATCTGCAAAACGTATTTATAAAAATTAAATCAGATAATGCAAGTTGAGTGCTAAGAACTGGCCCTGAAGAAAAGTAGATGCTCATCTAAGTGCTAGTTTTCTTGATTATTATTGTTACTACTGTTTTGATGGAAAGTCTCCCTCTGTCGTCCAGGCTGGAGTGCAGTGGCACAATTTTGGCTCACTGCAACCTCTGCCTCCTGGGCTCAAGTGATCCTCCCACCTCAGCCCAAGTAGTTGGGACTACAGGTGCATGCCAGTACCCCTGGCTAATTTTTGTTTGTTTGTTTGTTTGTTTTTTTGTAGAGGCTAGGTTTCGGCATTTTGCCCACGCTGGTCTCCAACTCCTGAGCTCAAACAATCCTTCTGCCTTGGCCTCCCAAAGTACTGGGATTACTACAGAGAGGCGTGAGCCACCACACCCAGCCTAGTTTTCTTTTTTATTTCCATTTCCTTGGTAGTCAGTTTTCTTAGAGACATTTTGGTATAGGAGCAGTGTTACAGTATGATTTAAAATACCTGAGAGAAATTACATGACTTAGCAAAACAATATGATACAATGGCAGAATCCACATCAGAAGAAAAATCACTTCAGATCTAAGAAAGGTTTTGGCTCACTAGATGTTTGTGTTGGCAGAAGTAGAAACGGACAATTTCTTTCCTGTTCCTAGAGCAGAAGCACACAGGGGACTGACACTGCATCTCCTGGATAGTCAAGCTTGGTCAGTGATATCCAGTAGGCAAGACCTTGGTGGAGAGAACACCTTACCAAGTCAACATTCGTGATACTCCAGGAAAAGAAGTCAGCTTCAGATTAAAAGGAGACACTTGTTTTTGTTTGTTTGTTTTTTGGGACACAGTCTCACTCTGTGGCCCAGGCTGGAGTGCAATAGCGTGATCTTGGCTCAATGCAACTTCCACCTCCTGGGTTCAAGCAATTATCCTGCCTCAGGGTCCTGAGTAGCTAGGATTACAGGTGTGCACCACCACACCCAGCAAATGTGTGTGTGTGTGTTTTTAGTAGCGATGGCCATGTTGGCCAGGCTGGTCTCGAACTCCTGACCTCAGGTGATCTGCCCATCTTGACCTCCCAAAGTGCTGGGATTACAGGTGTGAGCCACCACACCTGGCCAAAAGAGGACACATTTTTAAATGCAGGAAAGGAGATGCTACAAGAGAAGGTAGCTCAGATAGAAGGAAGATTGCTTCAGGCTGGGAATGGTGGCTCATGCCTGTAATCCCAGCTCTTTGGGAGGCTAAGGCAGGGGGATCACTTGAGGTCAGGAGTTTGAGACCAGCCTGGCCAACATGGCAAAACCCTGTCTCTACTAAAACACAAAAGTTAGCTGGGCATGGTGGTGTGCACCTGTAATCTCAGCTACTCAGGAGGCTGAGGCATGAGAATCACTTAAACCTGGGAGGCGGAGGTTGCAGTGAACAGAAGAGAACTGCCAAAGATGAGAGAACAGATTAGATGGGTGGGGCCCATGCAAGGATGGCTTGAGCTTCTGAATTCTAAGCCAGGATCTGTGCCACCAGTCTGTAGAGTGACCCAGGTGAGTTTCAAACAGTGGCTTAGGGGAAAGAAAAGTAGGTCAGTAGGTGGGGTTCTTTCAGTCATGGGAAAAAATCGGGCTATAGCTACACAATGTCCAATATGGTAGCACTAGCCACCTGTGGTTATTTTCATTAAAAGTAATTGAAATGTAGAAATTAAAACCTCAGTTCTTCAGTCACACGAGCCACACCTCAAGTGCTCAGTAGCCATGTGTGCTAATGGCCACCATATTGGACAGCACAGACAGAGAATATTCCACTCATCCCAGAAAGTTCTATTAGAGAGAATAGAGCATCAACAAGCCCAGGGCACAAGCCTGAAGCAGGTGCTGGATGCAAATAGTGTCAGCACTGAAAAGGAGCACCTGAGGCAATGCAGCTGTTACCTGAAGCTGCCCTAGCCAAGCCACATTGGGTCATGTGTAGACCCCATAAGGAAAGTCTGTGTGTTAAACAGAAAAGTGAAGGAAGGAGATGCAGATATTATACTTTCACCTCTGCAACAAGCCACCAAGCAGTCCATCCCCAGAGCATCAGTCACCCAAAGGAGATACTTTGTTTCAGTGCTTCACCCATAACTTTCAGAGGAGAACTTTGGCCTCCCCAGCGGGTCAATGTTGGAAGCTGCAGAATAATGGTGGATCTTCCAGCTATGAATGTTTTAGATCTCCACTACATATTCACATTCACCTGGGCATTTTTCTTAGTCATTGCTTGTAGTGAGAGAAACAGTCTTAATATTTTTTGTTCTTGTTACTGATGAGACCAACATCTTAGGGTGCCTGTGTACCAGAATTACTCCCAGCCTAATTCCTGGTCTACATGAAGAGAAATGACAACTCAGCCTTGTAAATAATTTTCCACAGCAATGCTACCCCAGGAGCATTTCTACATAGTTGTCATTACTACCAAATACCTATTCTCCCTTCAGAGCCATCCACAATTTTTCAGCTGTGGGATGGCAGAGCTTGAAAGGGCTTTAAGACTAATTTGGTCAGAACACTTCATTTTCAAAGGGGTAAATCTGGGAACTGGATTTACCAGCCAGTAAGGCCAGAGTTAGATGCCAGGTCTAAGTCCCTTATTAATCTCTTACAGTGCTGATGTTAGAAGAACACAAATATCTACTTGGAGATTCTCCTTCTCATCTTCAAAACTAGATTAGAATGAAAGCCAAAGATAGAAGAGGTGAGAATAGCTAGAGCTCACGGGCCACCCAAACTCAGCACCCTCAATTGAACTGGCCAAAAGCTGCTTTTTCAGTCCAACTGAACAAGCTTCCAGGGGGTTCCTTCTGCATGTGCTGAGGATACAGGATAAACTAGATGCAGTTGCTGCCTGTGAGGATCTTAAAATCCGGTAAAAATAGAAATATACAAGTGCCTCTCTCCTCCCCTTACCTGGCACACATACAAGACTCTGTTTTGATTATGGATATTTATGGGCCAGCAAGAATCTGAGAAAACATTTTTCCATTTTGCATTAGGGTTTGACATCAGACTGCAAGACTAGGGTGAGAGGCCTCCAGGCAGAGTAAAAAGGAGATTTCAGTTCTTGGCAGTTCTGCACTGTTCAGCCTTGTCAGTTACTTCACTTCCAGGGTTGTTGGATTTAGCAAATGCAAATACACAGCCCAGTTAAATTCAAACTTTTCAGATAAATAGTGAAACTTTTTTTATATAAGTATGTCCCAAATATTCTACGGAACATACTTATACAAAAAAATTATGTTTTGTTTATCTGAAATTCAAAGTTAACTTTATGTCCTGCTTTTTTTTTTTTTTTTTTTTTTTTTGGAGACAGAGTCTCACTGTGCTGCCCAGACTGCAGTGCAGTGGCATGATCTCAGCTCACTGCAACCTTTGCTTCCTGGGTTCAAGTGATTCTCCTGCCTCAGCCTCCTGAGTAGCTGGGATTACAGGCACATGCCACCTCGCATGGCTAATTTTCGGTATTTTTACTAGAGATGGGGTTTCACCATGTTGGCCAGGCTAGTTTTGAACTCCTGACCTCAGGTGATCCGTCCACCTCAGCCTTCCAAAGTGCTGGGATTACAGGCATGAGCCACCATGCCCAGCCTGTGTCCTGCATTTTTTACCTGGCAATCCTATTCAATTTCTCTTAGTCTGTTTATTTACCTGTAAAATGGGGATATGAAAACCCTTGCCTGTATAATGAGAATTAAATTAGCTAGGGTATGGGAAACCCTGGCATATAGCACATAATTAATATATAATAGCCCTCTCACTTTTCTAATGATTCACAACATACATCAAATAGGAAAATGAACATGGACAAATGGCTTTCTGGGAACTAGATCAGCCAGGTTTGTAAGAGAAAACAGAAATCCTTTGGCCCAGCTCCTTCACCTACGTGGGGCTCTCCAGTAAAATCTGGAGTGTGCGCATAGAAATGAATGCCAAGGTATATACTGACTGCCTAGAGTAGTATATGAGGGTCTAGATATGAACATGGAGGTGAGACTGCTGTACCAAAAAGAATAGTACTTAAATCGTTGCCTTAAGCCTCTGCTGTGAAAAATCAACCCCCTGGCAACTTGGTGACACCAAAAGATCAGAAACGAAGGGACGAAGAAATGATAAACAGGGCAAAGATGGGAAATAAAATGGTAGGTCCTGGAGACTACTATTCCTACAGAGATAGGCAGTGAACCAAGGGAAGGAGATCTGGTCTGAAGGGAGTATATCTGGGTTGTGCCCTTCTCAAACTCTGCCACAAAAACTTTGATCAGCAAAACTCACAAAGAAGTTTGGGTTCATGCCCATCTTGAGAGATGGATAAGTGTTGTAGAGAGAGCTGGAGCTGCAGAGGAGGGAGAGGTGCTGTCCTTCCTGCCCCTGAGGGACTTTGGTTCTGTGAGCTCATACCATGATGGCAGAATGTGCACAAGTCAGTGTCACAGCTTATACTGAGTTACCAGGCAAAACAAAAGGCCACACTCCTATGTTTCAGATGCGGCCCACCAGTTAACATTTTGGAAAGTGGGAGTTGTATTTTATCAGGTCTGTGTTGTCTTCTTGGGGTCGTGTTCTTTTTACAATAGGTATTGATGTATCTTTCTCGAGTACCCAAGGTCATATACTACATAAAGGCACAATGCCAGCTGGAATAAAATTCTGAGATATGATCAATTCAATCTCTACCTGAAAAACATCAGGCTGGTGGTCACATTTTTGTCTTGAAATCCATTCTGTAATAGTAAGCAGAATTAAAGAAAAGAAGTAGGTGGGAGACATGGAAGAAGGGCTCCTGTTCCCATTTCTGAAAAGCTGCCACTGGAACAAACCTAAAGTTGTAAGAATCATGACTTAAGGCTGCACTTCTCGAAACGTGATCTGAAGACCCCTAAGGTCCCCAAGACCCTTTTTGGGGTTCCATGAGGTCAAAATAATTTTATAACAATACCTGGGAATTATTTACCTTTTTAAACTCTCCATGGGTATTTACCTTTTTAAACTTCCATGGGTGTACAGAGGTTTCTTGAGATTACATGCCACACCTGCAACGATCTAAAAAGGCTACTAAAATACTCCCCACTTTTCCCACTTTATATCATGTAAGAACCCCGTTGTCTTCTATTAAGCTAGGTATTAAAGAGAGCTGCAAAAATGCAAAGCCATCATTCCCACCAAATATTTTTAAGACTCCACTGTTATTTTTTATAAAAGTTTTTATTTATGTTAACATACAATGAACTTATTAATTTTATTCTTAACTGAATTAATATTTTTCTAGATTTCTTAGTTTTAATTTCTAATCAGGTAAATATCAGTAACTATATATCCACAAAAAAACAGAGATGTTTGGGGGCCTCAAGGTTTTTAAGAGTATAAAGGAGTTCAGGGACTAATAAGCTTGATAATCCCTAGTTTAGGGGAAATAAAAAAGTGCATGTAATTTATAAAGAAAATTGGATTGATCTTACCGAGTTGCAGAATGCATTTGTTGGAATTGTTCTGGGTGAACAGGAGGGATGAAAATAAGACTTGTATGTGAAAGATCAACATGTGGATTTCAGCCCAGTAAGAACTTTCCAGTGGTCAGAGCTAAGCAAAGACAAGAGGGATGTTTTTTAACAAGGAGTGAGCTTCCTATCCCTGAAAGTATGTAAGCAGAGTCTGGCAAACCATCTGGCAGAGATGTTGCAGAGAGGAAGCTAAATGGCAAAGAAAGCTGGCATAGGGGTAGGACAGAATGTCTAAAGGGCTTTAAAGATTCCTTACAACCTAATATCTAGGTAAGGAAAGACCTAAACTGATTTTTATAGACGTCAAAAGCCAAGCTTTGTTGGCCCAGTACTAACCAGAGAGTGGCTCCCTTGTCAATACACGGCACTAAAAAGAATGATTCTCACAAGCTGCCTTGTAATAACCCCTCGCGTTTGCAGAGGGCTTTGCAGATGGCAAAATTCTTCATTTGCTTTATTTAATGTGATTCTCTCAACTGCCCCATGAGTTAGATCACAGAGGAGGCTCCAAGAGGCAATGTGTGAATTGTCCAAAAGACACAGCTGGTAAGTGACAGATCCTCCTGGCATCAAGCACTGGTATTCTTTCCAGTGTACCTCAGCTGCCTCCATACTGGCCCAGCTCTGACATCTCTCACTCCTCATGTGGCGTATGTGTAATGGAACTGTTTACCTCGCTTGGCTCTTGCCAAGGTACCTAATGCAATGCTGTTGGTCATGTAGAGGAGTCTCTTACCCCAGCCCTACCACCACCCTAGTAAATTCCTTCCTAGGGAAACACTGGACTTTTGAGAAGCCTGAACTGTTCAACTCTCCCCAGGCATGCTAATGAGTTGTTTTAAGCAGTGTGTGAGTTTCATGTTCAGGAAACCCAGGAGCTCAATGATCATAGCTCAAGTGTACGGAAAGCGAGGTGCCACCCATCTCTCTGCAGACTGCTCTCTACTCACATGTTACCACCTCTTCTGAGTGGCACTTCCACGTGCCTGCAGCCATGCCTCCTTGGGCAGAGATCCCATCAGATTTTACAAGCCACGCAGGGTCAGGCTTGGTGAAAACGTGAATGGGAATGCCCAGAACAATAAAGGCAGCAGGCGGTTTTCCTTGGGAGACGGGGGAGAGCCAAGCCACGTGCTGGCAGCGACGGGGCACCCATGGGGAAGCCACGAGCAGGACAGTAGCTGACACCAGTAACTGGGACTAACTGGGACAGACCTATTGGGATTAGCCCACAGCTTATAAAGACAATTTTTGAAGAAATACTTTGGTTCTGATGACTTTCAAATAGCTCCAGACTGGATTACCAGGATGTGATCCAAGCGAGTAGTAACCATTCTAGAGCAGGGTGCATACAGTTTTTCTGTAAAGGACCAGATAGTAAATATTTTAGGCTTTGCGGGCGCAGTGGTCTTTGTTGCAACTACTCAACTCTGCCACTGTTGGATGAAAGCAGCAGTCAGCAATATGTTAATGAATGAGCCCAGCTGCTTTCCAGTGAGATTTTATTTATAGATACTGAAATTTGAATTTTATATAATTTTTACATGCCACAAAATAGTATTCTCTATTTTTTTTAACTATTTAAAATTATAAAAACCATTCTTAGCTCATAGGTTGCAGAAAAACAGATGAGCTAGGTTTGGCCTGTGGGCTGTAGTTTCTCAGCCTCTGTTTTGTGGCAATGGTTCTCAAACTATAAGTGGTCCTCTTTACTACGGTAAATGGGCCATTGTTTAAAAAATATTTTTAAGCTTTCTCTGTTAAATACTTCTGCAAATTTATATCAAAATTGATCACTATAAAAGGGGAAAAAAGAAAAACAAAAGCTATAAAATGTAAGTCCACTGATGAAATTGCTACCATTATTTCTAATGCACGTTCTCAAGGTAAGAACTTATGTCACTAGGGACTGGACTCACACTTAGAGTGAACCTGTAAATCTAACGTAACTGCTTTCTTGATCTGAAATCAATGACCACATCAGTTATGTACATTATCATCTAGCATGTTGAAGTGCTTAAGGTTTTTGGTTTGCATACAGAGGCAAACAACTCCCCTTCCTGTCTTGTTTACCTGTTCTAAGCAAATCTTTTGTTGCCTGCATCATGGGTTGGCAAAGCCATACTCAATTAAGAGCCATAAGGCTACCATGACAACTATTATGAAAAAGTATTTCTCTGCTTCTACCCCAAGTCTTTCAGTCCCCTTGAAATTTCCACCCACTCACATGGGAGGCCTCATGTGCATCGTACAGGGCTCTGTGGTCTGCTCTTTGCTTCCCTGCCTGCGCTGGTGCCTAGGTCCAGACATCAATCACAGCTTCTATCATTGCCATACCCATGACAGCATGATGCTTGTTCTTCCTTCCTTTCTGGAGATGGCCATTCTGTTCTGCTCTTATGCCACAATGTCCATGCTGCTCTGTACTGTTTCTGACTTGT